>NW_018654709.1:0-181658 GCF_000001405.40 Homo sapiens
GAATTCATAAGGGCCGCAGACCTCTAGAAGGAAGGCTGACTGAAGCGACCAGTCTCAAGTCAGAGAAGAAGAGAAGGAATAGAAATGTCCGTTCATTTTTGGGCCATGGCATTGTCCTATTTTCTCTGGCTCAGAAGTTTCCAATTTCAATATGGGTGAAGAGAGGCAAGTGCTTACCCAAGCACCAAGTGCAAGACAGGGATAATTACATGACAACATTTTCTCTTTTCAAAGAGCTATGATGAAGCTTTCAGGTCTTAATTCATAGAGCTTGGTGAAAGTAAACAGAAGTGAATACTAGGTCCAAGGTGGCCCCTCCCACATAAAAATTTGTGAAGAGAAAGAAAACAAGAGTAGAGGGCATGCTTTTACTGATAATAACAGATCAGATGTATCTTTGCACCATCCCCTCCGCCACATGATGTATTCAGCTGTTTTGAGGGCAAGAAGCATGAGATAAGACAAATGTGTAATTACTTCTTGACCCACTCTTCTTAGTTTTCCATTTTCATGAGATGCCACAATTCATTATTTGCCTTGATATGTACAGAAGGACGGGGAAGCTTAGTTGATATTCATTTATTCAACAGTCTGTAATCTATATTTAATGGAGTACCAGACTGTGGCATAATAAACCGTTTAGAAAGATAGCTGCTGCGTACACAGGGGTTATTGCTTGCATAACCTGTACTTATTTTTCATTACAAAACTAAAAGAGCAAAGCATAATTCATATAAGCAAATGAAGTTAACATTTAATGGCTTGAAAAATGATAGTATGAGCTTGTATTATGCCAGGTACTGAGTAGCTGTAATATAAAGCAATGGAGTCCCCCCAAAATTGCTAAATAAAAAGCTGCTTTTGAGTGCACTGTGAAATATAGATGCCATAGCAAACAATGGGGTTCTGCTTTGTCAAGTATTGAGTGTCCCCTTGATTGGCCTCACTGGTGGCTCACCCCTCAGAGGCATCCTCTGTGCTAAGAGCATGCATGTGCTAGTAAGTCTAGAAGGGTCTTCCTGCTAGCACAGAACTTTGAAAACCTCATCTTGAGCAGTGCCCTGCTGAATACATACCAGTTCCATGACTGCCTATGGAGCCAGGGGTAGAAATTAATCTCACCAAGAGTCATGAATGAGAAGAATATAAACCCCTGACTCTTGGTGACATACAGGCACCAACATAAGTGTCATGAATTTCAAATGTTGCCCTGTGGAGTAGTGCAAGTCTGGCAAAAACTTTTACAACTATAGCAAAATTAAAAACATAAGGACAACATCATGAGTTTTTCAAGTAGTTCCATGTAATCTATTTGAAGGATTTTCTATTTTCTTTTTAATTTCAGCTTTTATTTTAGGTTTGGGAGGTACATGTGAAGGTTTGTTACATGAGTTTGTTGTGTGATGCTGAGGTTTGGGGTACAAATGATCCTGCCACCCAGGTAGTGAGGATCGAACCCAGTAGGTAGTTTTTCAGCCCCTGCCTGCCTCCATCTCTCCCCAATGTCTGCTCCCATTTTTATGTCCATGAGTAAACAGTGTTTAGCTCCCACTTATAAGTGAGAGCATGTGATATTTCATTTTCTGTTCCTTTGTTAATCTGCTTAAGATAATGGCCTCAGTCTGCATCCATGTTGCTACAAAGGACATGATTTCATTACATTTTTAAGGCTGGGCAGTATTCTATGGTGTATGTGTACCACATATTCTTTATCCAGTCCACCATTGATAGACACCTAAATTGATTTCTTATCTTTGGTATTGTGAATTGCACTGTGATCAATATACTAGTACGGTTGTTTTTTTGGTAGAACAATTTTCTTTTTTCTGGATATATACTCCAAATTGCGTTTCACAATGGTTGAAGTAATTTATATTTCCACTAAAAGTGAATAAGCCTTCCCTTTTCTCCAAAGCAACTCCAGCATCTGTTTTTTTGTTTTTTGTTTTTTGTTTTTGACTTTTTAATAACAGCCATTTTGGCTGGTGTGAGATGGTATCTCATTGTGGTTTTGATTTGGCTTTCTCTGATAATTAGTGAAGAAGACATACAAGTGGCCAATAAACATATAAAGGACTTTCAATGTTTTTTTAAAATTCTTTTTGATAAGTCACTGTTTTGATTATGAAACAGTGATGATAACAGATGGTAGATCTGATTATTTAAAAAAATATTCATGTGACCGAATAACAAAACTGGCAACTTAATTCCAGTTATTAAAAAATTTAAAATCATTAGAATCATGGTTTTAGATTTCTCATCCTCAAAGAATGATACAGACCAATTTCTGTATGCAGAAGCCATCTTGGTATTCATAGATACTACTGAGAATTATACTTTCTTAAATCTATGTCCAACTTGGCTTATGAAGTAGTTGTTTTATTCTGTCTTTCCTTACCATTGGTTCTCCATTTGCAAAAATTTGGCTGCTAGAAGAATGTTTACACATACGCATTCTCAGGCCTCTCAATTTCTCTACGCACTAGCAATTTCATTTGACATGGTGTACCAATAAAATGGATTACCACACCATATATTATAGCTTTTACTGGGAAGTGTGGGCAATAACAACAATAAATCCCTGCTTTTATTTCTATAACCATGTTTATATATTTCTATAATAGTGTCTTGTGGGCCAAGGAGCAAGAAGCAAAAGCTTAATTATGAAATGGGTTAGCAATGTGCTAGGGATGTGCTACTATGGGATGTTGTGGAAAATTGAATGCTCACAGCTGTATATTATCAAAGACCATCCATAATGCCTAGAAACAAGATCCCAGGTACCTCAGGTTATTTAAATATTTTCAACCTACGTCACTGGGCATTTTTGTTTGCTCCAACATGTAACTCCAGCTCCTCATGCTGCTGCTTAAATATGACAGAGTAATAATTTATATTAGTCCTGAAGGAAAAGAGAAGGGGTGCTACAAGTCACAGCATAACTTTTCTATAGCAGGTCACAGTAAGACTCAATATAAAGATGGTTGGATGGGGAAAAAAAAGATGACAGAGTCCAGTCCATAGCAGGCCAAACCAACAAATGGATAAATCCCTTCCAATTAAACACAGGGATCAGAAGGCAGAAATGGGCACATGGCCAAACCATAGTAAACTGCCTTGGAATCAGCTTCATTGTACTAAGTGGAAGCCTGATTTCTGTCCCTATGTTAATATTATAATTTTCTGATCACACACAACTTGTATATACTGTTTCAATGCCTCATAGGGATATAGTGATTTGTTTGGGGCAGGTGGCATTAAGAAATGCTTAGTAAAATCTCAAAAGAAGGAGTCTAGAAAGTGAGATGTACCTTTTAATGTATTCTGAACGCTGAGAAGTTCATATGATACCTCCTCAGCTATATCAGTTCACATTGTAAACAACACCAATGAGGTTTAGTTTCAAAGAGAGTCATTATCATCACTATCACCACCACCACTACCACCACTACCAATATCATCATTGCAATTAATGTTTGTTGAATTTTCATTATGTACCAGGTGCTACGCTATGTGCTTTACAATTATTTTATTTAATCCTTACAACAAACTTACTAAATATTTTCTATTATTTGTTCCCTTTCTATAGAGAAAAAAAAACCAGACAAACATGTATCTGACTTTCCCAAGGTCCCACAGAGCCTGACACCTGAAGTCAGAATCTTATTCTCTACCTTATTCCTGTGGTCACTGACATTCTCTACAGTTTGAAGAGGGAGCCTGGTATAAATGGCTGGGGCAAAACTTCATTTTCTTTTGCTGCCATTGGAAATAGATAACAACAAGTGACTATATGTTACACAACTAACCCTAAATATATTTACCATTCTTTTTTGTTATTCTCAAAAGGCCAGTATTCTCATTTAAACACCCTACTTTTGGGTCTCCTCATATATTCTGAAATTTTCCATAAACAGGCTTTCATTAGCCTAATACAGATTCAGTTCCTTATTGTTCCCACAGAACAATGGTCTTTTGATAGATTTCAGTATCAATAATACTTTAAGCAAAGCAATAAGTATTTGTTTATCTTATAAATTCTGGCGCTAAAAGAAACATTGGATTATGCAAATGTTGTAGCTAATTGAATCCAAAGTGCCTAAGTAACCTGCCTTAGTTCATAAACGGTTGATAGGAGAGCAGGTACTGTATGTCAGTCCTGATATTTTCCATCTTTGCTTTGACAGCACTGGCAGAGGGAAATACATTTTTTTTTTTTTTGCCAGAAGTCTTCAGTATGGGCTTTCTATAGAAAGAAGGATTCTTCTTTGGCACCAAAAGTAAATCAAATCTATGCCACTACTGCATGGAGAAGGGGAAAATTAAAAAAAATTAAATTAAAAATTTAAAAAACAGCAACAATGAAACAAACATACAAACAAAAAGCTTTCCTGTATATCAGGCTTTTCCATGTAAGGTTGCTGAACACTGTCTCTTTGCCTTGATTTTTCAGGAGTCTGCTTTCTCTCACACCTGATTTTCACTAGAAATTGTGTGGTCTCTCTAAATAAAGAGCAGGTTCAAACCTATATAGTCCCACACCCTGTTACTAGAACCCTGCTGGCATGAGGCTTCACTTGAGCAATTTCTGTTTTTAAAAATGGAGTGAGAATGTATAGCACATTCTCTGCCCACACTTAGCAAATTAGTGATCAAATGTCACCCACAAACAGGACGGTTAATGATTTTCTTTAAGCTGAAACAGAAGTTGATCACTGGAAAAAGGAAACAATGCTCTCTTTACTCTCTGCTTGGGATGTGATGCAGGGTTGACTGAGGACTCTATTTAAAACTCAGCAACACAATTCTCACAAACGCTGGGCAAAGCAAATCTTCAAGCCCAGAAAATGAGAAATTCAGAAAGTAATGACTAAATCAATAGTATCTATAACCTGGGATGGAAGGAATGCCTTATCTGCAGTATTGATAATTATTTGTAATACACAGAGACTTACTTAATGTTCAGATATAGATGAGGACACAGGCACTCATCAACTGAATTGGCTGAGAAATATAGCAGAATGAAGAACAGAAAAAACATACTTAATCCTTCACTTGGAGAAAGGCAGTTAACATAATTTTCAATCCTGTAATTAGAGACACTTTAGATTTGGTAAAGCAGTATAAACAATAGGAGATGGGTAACAGTATCCCAGCTCTGCTGGAACCTGCAGGATTGAAGCAAATAAGAAACGCTTTGGTATTATTAGTGACTGGCTCTGGGACCAGGCAAGACTGGGTGGGGCTGCAGGTGGGAACATCTGCAGCTGTTAGTGTGAGCAGCTGGGAGGGCAGGCTCAGGAAGAGGAATGAAAGATGCTGACAAACAGGCCGGATGCTGATTAATCCTTCTCTTGGGAGCAGGGCAAGAATATTGACCATTTAACAATTTTTTTCCATGTGTTTGGTTAATTTACATTCACTAAATCATGGTGTCAAGCCCTATCTTAAGTTTGTTTGTTGTTTGTGTGTCTGTTTGTTTTTAGTAATTTGAGGCAGGTGGATCATGAGGTCAGGAGGTTGAGACCAGCCTGGCCAACATGGTGAAACCCCGTCTCTACTAAAAATACAAAAATTAACCTGGCGTGGTGGCGGGCACCTATAATCTCAGCTATTCGGGAAGCTGAGGCAGGAGAATCATTTGAACTCGGGAGGTGGAGGTTGAAGTGAGCTGAGATCTCACCATTGCACCCCAGCCTGGTTGACAAGAGCAAGACAATGACGTTGGAGGAGGAGGAGCAGGAGGAGGAATAAAATAATAATCTCTAATAAATAAATTACACAAAATAATTATTACTAGAATATAGACATCATCTCTTTCAAGCCTCTCAGATGAGTTAAGATGGGATGAGTCTTTGTCCCCCAACCCCCTTGGTCCGCTACTGTAGCTCACTGAAGCAGAGGATGCCCAACTAGGCACTTGTGAGACTGAGCTCAGAACTGCACATGGAAGGGAACAACACTCTCCGGGTAACTAGCAGGGTAGTGGAACCACCTCCAAGCAGTGCTGTAGATGGGAGGGCAGCCCCATGTGACCACAAACTTTGTGCACGCTCTGCTTTTATTGCAGCTGGAGTCTTGTGGTGTTTTACTGTGGAAAGAAGTGTGATTTCCCACTAACTAGTGACTAGTTAAGAGAAAGGCGCACAATGCCAAAAAGCAGAGTAAAGGAGAAAGCAACAACAGGCAGATGTGTAGCAATCAAGGCAGCAATGCCTCCTAGTACAAGGGATTTTGAGGGCATATTTCTGAGGAAGACACTTATCAAAACAGAATCAGAGGCGCGATGAGATGTGTCTGGCTAGACTACGGAGAAGATGCCTCCTCACCAAAATGCTGCCATCCTAAATGCCTGACTCAGTGTCGGGGTGCCTTAGCTCTCTGGGAGCATGTTGTTCTGCACCTTGTACCCCTTAAGGGTGGAAGCCGCTCAGTGGTCCTGCAGATGAGTGTCAGGGATTAAGAATTGACAACAACTTGGACTGAGGGGTGGAGCCAAGATGGCTGAATAGGAAGAGCTCCAGTCTACAGCTCCCAGCATGAGCCACGCAGAAGACGGGTGTTTTCTGCATTTCCAACTGAGGTACCAGGTTCATCTCACTGGGGAGTGTTGGAAAGTGGGTTGAGGACAGTGGGTGCAGCATACTGAGCATGAGCTGAAGCAGGGCAAGGCATTGCCTCACCCGGGTAGTGCAAGGGGTCAGGGAATTCCCTTTCCTAGTCAAAGAAAGGGGTGACAGAGGCCACCTGGAAAATCAGGTCACTCCCACCCTAATACTGCGCTTTTCCAATGGTCTTAGCAAATGGCATACCAGGAGATTATATCCTGCGCATGGCTCAGAGGGTCCTACGCCCACGGAGCCTCCCTCATTGCTAGCACAGTAGTCTGAGATCAAACTGCAAGGCAGCAGCGAGGCTGGGGAAGTGGCCCCTGCCATTGCCAAGGCTTGAGTAGGTAAATAAAGCAGCCGGGAAGCTCGAACTGGGTGGAGCCCACCACAGCTCAAGGAGGCCTGCTTGCCTCTGTAAACTCCACCTCTGGGGGCAGAGCATTGCCAAACAAAAGACAACAGAATCCTCTGCAGACTTAAATGTCCCTGACAGCTTTGAAGAGAGTAGTGGTTCTCCCCGCACACAGCTGGATATCTGAGAATGGACAGACTGCCTCCTCAAGTGGGTCCCTGACCCCCGAGTAGCCTAACTGGGAGGCACCCCCCAGTAGGGGCAGACTGACACCTCACACGGCCAGGTACTCCTCTGAGACAAAACTTCCAGAGGAACGATCAGGCAGCAACATTTGCTGTTCACCAATATCCGCTGTTCTGCAGCCTCCACTGCTGATACTCAGGCAAACAAGGTCTGGAGTGGACCTCCAGGAAACTCCAACAGACCTGCAGCTGAGGGTCCTGACTGGTAGAAGAAAAACTAACAAACAGAAAGGACATCCACACCAAAACCCCATCTGTACATCACCATCATCAAAGGCCAAAGGTAGATAAAACCACAAAGATGGGGAAAAAACAAAGCAGAAAAACTGGAAACTCTAAAAATCAGAGCACCTCTCCTCCTCCAAAGGAACACAGCTTCTCACCAGCAACAAAACAAAGCTGGATGGAGAATGCCTTTGACAAGTTGAGAGAAGAAGGCTTCAGAAGATCAAACTACTCTGAGGTAAAGGAGGAAGTTCGAACCCATGGCAAAGAAGTTAAAAACCTTGAAAAAAAATTAGACAAATGGCTATCTAGAATAACCAATTCAGAGAAGTCCTTAAAGGACCTGATGGAGCTGAAAACCAAGGCAAGAGAACTATGTGACGAATGCACAAGCCTCAGTAGCCGATTAGATCAACTGGAAGAAAGGGTATCAGTGATGTAAGATCAAATGAATGAAATGAAGCAAGAAGAGAAGTTTAGAGAGAAAAGGATAAAAAGAAACGAATAAAGCCTCCAAGAAATATGGGACTATGTGAAAAGACCAAATCTACATCTGACTGGTGTACCTGAAAGTGACAGGGAGAATGGAACCAAGTTGGAAAACACTCTGCAAGATACTATCCAGGAGAACTTCCCCAATCTAGCAAGGCAGGCCAACATTCAAATTCAGGAAATAGAGAGAACGCCACAAAGATACTCCTCGAGAAGAGCAACTCCAAGACATATAATTGTCAGATTCACCAAAGTTGAAATGAAGGAAAAAATGGTAAGGGCAGCCAGAGAGATGGGTTACCCACAAAGGGAAGCCCATCAGACTAACAGCTGATCTCTCGGCAGAAACTCTACAAGCCAGAAGAGAGTGGGGGCCAATATTCAACATTCTTAAAGAAAAGAATTTTCAAACCAGAATTTTATATCCAGCCAAACTAAGCTTCATAAGTGAAGGAGAAATAAAATCCTTTAAAGACCAGCAAATGCTGAGAGATTTTGTCACCACCAGGAATACCCTAAAAGAGCTCCTGAAGGAAGCACTAAACATGGAAAGGAATAACTGGTACCAGCCACTGCAAAAACATGCCAAATTGTAAAGACCATCGAGGCTAGGAAGAAACTGCATCAACTAACCAGCAAAATATCCAGCTAACATCATAATGACAGGATCAAATTCACATAACAATATTAACCTTAAATGTAAATGGGCTAAATCCTCCAATTAAAAGACACAGGCTGGCAAATTGGATAAAGAGTCAAGACCCATCAGTGTGCTATATTCAGGAAACCCATCTCATGTGCAGAGACACACATAGGCTCAAAATAAAGGGATGGAGGAAGATCTACCAAGCAAATGTAAAACAAAAAAAAGGCAGGTGTTGCAATCCTAGTCTCTGATAAAACAGACTCTGAACCAACAAAGATCAAAAGAGACAAAGAAGGCCATTACCTAATGGTAAAGGGATCAATTCAACAAGAAGAGCTAACTATCATAAATATATATGCACCCAATACAGGAGCACCCAGATTCATAAAGCAAGTCCTTAGAGACCTATAAAGAGACTCAGACTCCCACACAATAATAATGGGAGACTTTAACACCCCACTGTCAACATTAGACAGATCAACGAGGCAGAAAGTTAGCAAGGACATCCAGGAATTGAACTCAGCTCTGCACCAAGCAGACCTAATAGACATCTACAGAACTCTCCACCCCAAATTAACAGAATATACATTCTTCTCAGCACCACACCACACCTATTCCAAAATTGACCACATAGAAGGAAGTAAAGCACTACTCAGCAAATGTAAAAGGACAGAAATGATAACAAACTGTCTCTCTGACCACAGTGCAATCAAACTAGAACTCAGGATTAAGAATCTCACTCAAAACCGCTCAACTACATGGAAACTGAACAACCTGCTCCTGAATGACTACTAGGTACATAACGAAATGAAGGCAGAAATAAAGATGTTCTTTGAAACCAACAAGAACAGAGACACAACATACCAGAATCTCTGGGACACATTCAAAGCAGTGTGTAGAGGGAAATTTATAGCACTGAAAGCCCACAAGAGAAAGCAGGAAAGATCTAAAATTGACACCTTAACATCACAATTAAAAGAACTAGAGAAGTAAGAGCGAACACATTCAAAAGCTAGCAGAAGGCAAGAAATAACTAAGATCAGAGCAGAACTGAAGGAAATAGAGACATAAAAAAACCCTTCAAAAAATCAATGAATCCAGGAGCTGCTTTTTTGAAAGGATCAACAAAATTGATAGACCACTAGCAAGACTAATAAAGAAGAAAAGAGAGAAGAATCAAATAGACGCAATAAAAAATGATAAAAGGGATATCATCACCTATCCCACAGAAATACAAACTAACATCAGAGAATACTATAAACACCTGTATGCAAATAAACTAGAAAATCTAGAAGAAATGGATAAATTCCTTGACATATACACCCTCCCAAGACTAAACCAGGAAGAAGTTGAATCTCTGAATAGACCAATAACAGGCTCTGAAATTGAGGCAATAATTAATAGCTTACCAACCAAAAAAAGTCCAGGACCAGATGGATTCACAGCTGAATTCTACCAGAGGTACAAGGAGGAGCTGGTACCATTCCTTCTGAAACTATTCCAATCATAGTTTCCCCATGACAACACTCACAAATTGGAGCTTTCTCTGGCAAACAAGGACATATGGACACCCTATTAAATAAAATCTCATCAATCTCCTTCTTAAAGTTTTCCTACGACCTCTCGTCCCATGAAGAATAAATTACAACCCCCATGCTGGGCCTTGCAAAGCTTCTTCTAAGACTTCATCTCATCTCTTTGTTCCACTTGCTCCAGGCCTCTGGCCTTTGTTCCAACCCCTAAAGTACAAAGCTCTATTGCTTCTGGAGGCCTCTGCATTTATTGCCCACTCTACTGAAGGTGATTTTTCCCTCTATCTTTGCACAGCTGACTTCTCAGCCTTCAAATTTGCTCATGTGTAACCTCCTCTAAGAAGCCTTCCTTGGTTATTGTATCAAATATAGCCCTTCTGTCCTTTCACTCTCTATCATGTTAACTTGATCAGTTGCCTATCCAGCACTCAGCCCATCTGGCTTTCTATTTTTTATTGTTTTACTTTCCCTTTTAGATACAAGATCCGTGAAACCAGAAATCTTGTTGTGTCTTTAGTAATTGGGTTAGCATTTGGCATATACATAGTCTTTGTTCATAAAATAAATACAATTTTAAATTATGTTCAAATACATAATTGGCAAATCACAAGAAGTATATGAGATGAAAACTCTTTGTAATGTAAGAAGCGATATGGAAAACCAAGATAGAGACATAAGCTACATATCCTTATAAATATTTATATCCTGTAAATATAAATATATATACAGATATTTATATCAGTGCGTATATACATGTATACATGAATATATACATATATACACATATACATATAAATACACATATATACATATATAAATATATATATACACATTACATATATATATGGAGAGAGAGAAAGAAACTATTATAAATTAATAGGTGTAAGTTCTTCCATCAGCAGGCTACACTCAGATAATACAATATATTATACCATCTGGTTAGCAGAGTGTGTAGTGAAAGAGTTAAACTTGACTGGTGAGGAAGCCAAGTTGGAAGGCACCAGAGATGTGTAATCAGATGTCTGATCTCTGGTGGAGGCAGCCTCTATATCACATCTATTATGAGTGATACAGATGCAGAAGACTGTATTCTTCATATCATTACACTTATATACAGTGTTATTTTCCTTCCGGAAATCTTAGGCTGCATAGCCTGGAGGTATTCAATAAAACTGAGAGGGAACACTAGAAGTGAATCATGCCAGTTTGGCATTTCCAGTTCTGCTGTGACCGCTAGACCAAAATATAGTCTGTGGGCCTCTTTTTCATTAGCATGAAACTGCCGGGTTTTAAAAACAGTTTATCCGTTGAATTAATCTCCAACCTGTCTTTCACACAGGGCAGATACAGCTCCCTGCATCAGTCTTCCTATTCTGAAACGCTCTTATTTTATTTGTGTGCATTCTGGGTAATGAATAACGATGTTTTGTCCTTAGAGAATGCCATTCTCTAAAATAGCTCCTAGCATTTTGTAAATGTTAACTCATTAGACCTCATACAGTCCACTGCCACCTATCACACACCGAGGTAGGTCAAAGGCATCATATTTCACATTTTACAGATGGAGGAATTTTAGGAACTTCAACCCAAGGTCACCCACAGCCAGTAGCCCAACAGGAGAAGACAAGGGACAGAAATATTACCCCAGAATCACACAGATCTCACTCTGCCCTCTGAGAGAGCCAAGGGGAGCAGTCTCAGAGACATGTGAGGATGGTGACACTGGCATTCTACTCACAGTCAAGATCCAGATGGGGCTGGGGGACAAGAGGTGAATCACACTGCTTTTGCCCCCTACTTGCTTTATGATGGCAAAACATGATTAAAATGAATACCAAAGCAAACCTCCAGTTCCATTATATCAGAGACAAATTCAGTTCAGTCCAGTTCAACCCTCTCCTCCAGGCACTTGGCTGAAGTGTTCAGAGATTACAGAACCCAGTTCTTAGATCATCCCTGGAAGAGCTGGTACTGCTGAAAGCATGGTCCCACCTTGGGGAAGTGAGCTACTTGCTAGGATTCCCACTTCCAGCCCTCAATTCCTCTTTGGCTTTTTAGTGATACACATCGCCCAAGTAGTAACACATTGCACTGGCTGCTTTTCAGTTTTCCTGGCCCCATGTCCCTTCTTCCCCACCATCACAACCCTGGGCTTGCACCTCACAAATAAAGAGTCCTCACTTTAATTTTTGCCTTTGTCTCTGCTTTCCTATTACCAGTCAAGGGGACTAGGGAAAAGGAAAACATCTAAGAACAATAAGAGGTTTTCAACGTCTCTTCCTAAAACAAAAGGGTACTGCAGACATTGAATAATACAGACAATGAATAATACAGAGTACAACAGAACTTAGGAGTATATTATATTTTGGCTCTATTACCCTACTCATCCATAGCTTAGCTTCCCTATCAAGGAGGATGCAGTTTCGTTCACATTTCCCAATGCATTGAGAGTAAGAGGGAAAGGAAGAAAGCAAGAGCTGGGGAGAACGTGCCTTCCTCACCATCTCAATGTGATGCCCTGGGTTTGTGGTCAGGATTGTTTCCAGTGTCAAAAATGTAATAGAACATGAAACATGATAGAAGTCACGTCAGCCATGTCACTTGTGAGATATAAGTCACAATTATCTTTATACTGAGACAATGTCAATATCAATTTTTTCCCCTTAATATATAAACTACAACCAAACAACAGCCTGTCTGCCTTTTGAATGGGAATATGTGCTGTCCAACATGTATAATATACACACAAACAACAAGAACAACATCAGCTGTGTAGTCACAAATGCTTGTGACCCTGAACACATAGGGAAATGGCAACCACATTGATTCTCTTTGTCTTACCAAACTTGAATTCCACCTATGCCTAATCATCACCAACACAAGAGAGATGATTTGTAGAGGGAGCAAAGATAGTTTTTGGCATCCTGCAGACAGCACTCTCTATTCCTTCTTTCACCTTTACTTCAGGAAAAAGCTGCGCAAATGGGTCAGTCCTCACAACTGAAAACATTCCTCACTCCCCAAAATAAGATGGAACTTAACAAAGAAATTAGACTGTGTGGAAGAAAATATGACATCAATATTAATTTGGTCACCATTCATCAATACAATTCCCTCCATTTAACTACCTAAAAGAATCAACAAAATGAATGTACAATCCTACAACTTACATAATTTTAGGCCATTTCCAATTTTCTGTCATTGAAAGCAGTTTTATATTCCACATCTTTGCACTTATATCCTAATATTCATGCCGCAGTATATTTGTGAGAGTGAAGCAGGAGTTTTGGATATTTTCTCTCATTTTTAAATTGTAATAGAAATGGCTAATTCATTGACTAATTAAAACTGTATAAAATATCAATTTTTCCTACCCTACAGCCAGCAGTGAGCTTTAAACACACAACGAATTATTCAGTCTTTTTCATTTTGATAGATGAGAGAAATAATTATAAATCTTTTCTGATTTCAGGGTCTTCCATTCAAAAGTTTCCTGAAAGTGACACATGGATTTTCTTTGACGATACCTGGCCTGGAAGTGGAGAGGTGACTTCAGCAAGAAAAATTCTAGCAACCCACCTATGTTCTGTGTGTCTGCATTACACAATGGACTTTCAGAGATAATTTCAAAGTTATCTCAAAAGTTCTGAGACTACTGAATATTTGGAAAATGCACTGGACTAAATGATCACTAAAGTCTCTCCTATCCTGTTCAGTGAAGGTTCAGCCAAAGAAGTAGACCTAGTAGGAGATATATTTTACAATATTTACTGCAAGGTATTGGCTTACACAATGAGGGTGGCTGGTTATGCATGTCTAAAATTTGTATGACAGGCCTTCAGGAAGAACAGGCTGGAATGACGGCTGGGTATGAGCTGAAGCTGCTGTTCACAGATAGAATGTCTTCATTAAGCCTCAGTTCTGCTCCTGAAGCCTGTCAACTGATTGGATCAGGTCCAACTAGATTATTTAGGATAATCTTCCTTACTGAAAGTCAACTGATTATGGATTTCAATCACTTCTACAAAATACCTTCCTGGCAAAACCTATATTAGAGTTTGATTAAATAACTAGAGCCTAGTCAAGTTAACACATAAATGGCCATCACACCAGCTTGTCTCACTTTATATATATTTAGTACAAAGAGAAGGTAGGCCTTAGTTATTTTCAGATTTATAATGGCTATATCTCTAGCTACTCTAAAGGACAAGTATTTTCCCTTATTAATTAATTTTAATGTTCACACTTACTGTAATTATTTGTAATAATCAAAATTGAGAAAAACCAATAGGCCCCTCAATAGGTGAATGTCTAAACAAGCCTCAATACCTTAAAGCTATGGAATACTAGTTAGAAATAAGAAAGGGCAAACTATTGTTACACTCAACAACTCAGATGGATCTCAAGGGCATACACCGAGTGATAAAAGCCAATTTTAAAATGTCATGGACTGAATGATTCTATAACCCAACCTCCTGGAAATTACAAAAGTTTAAAAATAGAGAATGGAGGCCAGGTGCAGTGGCTCATGCCTGTAATCCCAGCACTTTGGGAGGCCGAGGCTGGCGGATCACCTGAGGTCAGGAGTTTGAGACCAGCATGGCCAACAAGGTGAAACCTCATCTCTACTAAAAAATACAAAAATTAGCCGAGTGTGGTGGCACACGCCTGTAATCCCAGCTGCTCAGGAGGCTGAGGCAGGAGAATTGCTTGAACCTGGGAGGCGGAGGTTGCAGTGAGCCGAGATCACACCACTGCACTCCAATCTGGGTGACAGAGCGAGACTGTCTCCAAAAGAGAATAAACTAATAGCTTCCAGGGCTTAGGGATGGTGGAGGGGAAGGAAGTGGGTGTAACTATAAAGCGGTAGAAGGAGAAAGATCCTTGTGGGATGGAATGTTCTGTATGCTGATTGGGGCAGTGGTTACCAATGTATACAGGTGATAAAAAATAACATAGTACTACAAATCGCACCTTTCTCTACCATATTTACAACTTCCTATAGATCTAGAATTATTTCAAAGTCAAAAGCTTAAAAATAAAGAAATGTACAGAATATGTACTTAACCTCAAAGTTGGGAAGAATTAGCTTTAAAAAAGAGTAACCGTAAATGGAAATATTGACGTAATTGAGAATATACACACACGTTGCAACTTTTGTACAGCACAAGCCTATATAAACAAAACCAATACATTGATAGAATTGTAAATACTTTGTAAGCCATGGGCAAATTGTTACAAATCCAGCAGGGGTTATTATATGTTTATAAGATAGTACATCCTGTTAGAAATCAATCTATTATATATTGATAAGACTAAGTCTTGTTAGAAACCTGTTTAAATATGGGATTTTACCCATATTTTTACCCTTAGGTGGGATTGAGATGCCAAGGAATAGACACTGGACACACTAATTAGTGCATCCTTTTCCTAAACACACATATTTATTTGCAAGCACTGTGCTTAGATCTCTCTGAGATAAAGAGAATGATAGTGACAGTAGTGATGACAGCAACCATTATGCGTTAAAAGATAGAAAATATGTTTCCAAAACAGTTTCAAACATGATCTAGTATTTTTAGGTGGACACAAGTAATGACTGATTTGGCTCCCTGAGGTAAAGCTAGCATCTTGGTTGCCATGGTACTCTGATGTCATTGGCCCCCTCCTGAGGAAGTCGAGCTGGTATTGATGGATACCAGAGAGACTGGGGCCACGGGGGCTGCTGATGCAGGAGACATGGAAGGTGCTGATCTGGGTGGGAGTTGGGAGGAGCAGTCAAGAACACACTGACTTTTAACACTTCCTCTTCCTCTATTTTCTGGAGTAGAACCTGTGGAACACCATCAGCCTGGGGAACACTAACAAGGAATTTTAAAAAATTGCTAGAGCCCCAGCATAGGCTAGCTGGAGATGAGAAGCTCCTGGGGCCACAGTCATGGTTGAGGGGGAGGGTCCACTTTCATAGTCTTTTCCACCAGCAACATCACCAGGATCTCACAGTGAGGAGAGTTGTATGTAAATCCAGAGAAAGCCCCCCACTTCCTGAAACTGCTGATGGAGGAGAAGAGTCTCGACATGATCTCTGTATACTTCTTCCTAACATAGGACTTGGTGTTTAGCAGGCCTTCAGTAAATGTTTGTAGAATTGAAGTAGATAAAATGTTCATATGCATCCCCATTTTAAGACAAGACATATTTATCTTTCTATTTCTTCCCAGTGCCTAAGCATGCTGATGGGTAGATTGAAGGTACCCAGTTGTTAGCTGATAGCTCAGCTAGAACGTTCTGTATTTTCACTGATTTATTCCTCCCCATAAGCCTTTTTGTCTCTTATAGTTGTTTCTATCTATGTCCTGTGACTCAAATTGTACCTTTATAGTTGAACTTCTTACCTATAAGGTATTTAAGCCTGTTACAAGGTGCATCCTCTTGGGAGAGATAATATTTGATGGTCTGATCACTCTTTTACTGCCTTCTTTAAAAGAGTGTTGGATAAAGAAATAGCAGGGAAACTCTGATGAAAGGGAATTCACTAAGAGAAATGCAGAATTTGAAAATCTTAATGTTAACATCAGAATGGATTAAGAGGTAAAAGTAATTAAACTTACTGAGCACTACTGAGTCCCGGGCTTTGGTATGAGATGACTTTAAATGTGACCCAAATAGCTTTCAGGCTCCCTTGCCCTTAGATTTCTATGACCAATGGGCTCAGACTCAAGCAAATTCTTTAGCCTCATTTCTCTAGGTTCCTACAAAATCCCAGAGCCACATGTCCATATCTCATTTTGTGAATGTTCACCTCCTCAGTTCAGCTGGGAAGTTCAATCTCACAGTGTCCTGGTGAGTGTCACCTGGGATTAACCTTGAGTGGAAATGAAGTGATATTAATTGGCACAGTCTCAAGTTAGAATTGCTGAACCTCTATTCTGAGGATACAAATTTAAATCTTGACTTTGAAACTTGCTCTGCATCTCAACCTTAATATATCTCAACATCATCATCTTTAAAACAGGATAGTGGCTTCTACCTTAACAACTAGGCAGGAGGTTATAAAGGTCAAACAAAGTAAGATTTCATATAATTTTACAAACATAAGTGATCAGGATTTAATGGTGGCAAGTTACTACTGACTGAATCGTATCACTTAACCCTCCTTCTCTTCGAGGTTCTCACTCAAAAGAAGCACAGAAAGTAGAAAGTGTAACAGAGTGAGAAAAAATAAAACAAACAAAATTTACAGCTTTATTCACAGAGAAGTGATTGATAATGCTTTGAGAAGCTGTAATAGAAAACTGAGGCCAAAAAATGAAGGGAAGCTCATTAGGAAGCAGATTACTTGCTACCCACTTTTTTTTTTTAATTATACTTTAAGTTCTAAGGTATATGTGCACAACGTGCAGGTTTGTTGCATATGTATACATGCACCATGTTGGTGTGCTGCACCCATTAACTCGTCATTTACATTAGGTATATCTCCTAATGCTATCCTTCCCCCCTTCCCCGACCCCATGACAGGCCCTGGTGTGTGATGTTCCCCTTCCTGTGTCCAAGAGTTCTCATTGTTCAATTCCCACCTATGAGTGAGAACATGCAGTGTTTGGTATTTTGTACTTGCGATAGTTTGCTGAGAATGATGGTTTCCAGCTTCATCCGTGTCCCTACAAAGGACATGAACTCATCATTTTTTATGGCTGCATAGTATTCCATGGTGTATATGTGCCACATTTTCTTAATCCAGTCTATCATTGATGGACATTTGGGTTGGTTCCAAGTCTTTGCTATTGTGAGTAGTGCCGCAATAAACATATGTGTGCATGTGTCTTTATAGCAGCATGATTTATAATCCTTTGGGTATATACCCAGTAATGGGATGGCTGTGTCAAATGGTATTTCTAGTTCTAGAGCCTTGAGGAATCGCCACACTGTCTTCCACAATGGTTGAACTAGTTTACAGTCCCACCAACAGTGTAAAAGTGTTCCTATTTCTCCACATCCTCTCCAGCACCTGTTGTTTCCTGACTTTTTAATGATCACCATTCTAACTCGTGTGAGATGGTATCTCATTGTGGTTTTGATTTGCATTTCTCTGATGGCCAGTGATGATGAGCATTTTTTCAATGTGTCTTTTGGCTGCATAAATGTCTTCTTTTGAGAAGTGTCTGTTCATATCCTTTGCCCACTTTTTGATGGGGTTGTTTGTTTGTTTCTTGTAAATTTGTTGGAGTTCTTTGTAGATTCTGGATATTAGCCCTTTGTCAGATGGGTAGATTGCAAAAATTTCCTCCCATTCTTTAGGTTGGCTGTTCACTGTGATGGTAGTTTCTTTTGCTGTGCAGAAGCTCTTTAGTTTAATTAGATCCCATTTGTTAATTTTGGCTTTTGTTGCCATTGCTTTTGGTGTTTTAGACATGAAGTCCTTGCCCATGCCTATGTCTTGAATGGTATTGCCTAGGTTTTCTTCTAGGGTTTTTCATAATTTTAGGTCTAACATTTAAGTCTTTAATCAATTTGAATCCAAATACCAGGATAACATGCACAAGAGGGAAAGAGAAACAATGAGAGAGAGATGACAGGCACCAGAAGAATCCCTGAGGTGACAAAAGTGAAGTACAAAAAAGGAGACAGCTCTCCACTGGGAGAAGCCACACCTGTAGGAATTACAAGAGCAACTAATATGGTTTGGCTCTATGTCCTCACCCAAATCTCATCTTGAATTGTAATCCCCACAGGTTGGAGGAGGGACCTGGTGGGAAGTGATTCGATCATGGGGTCAGATTTCTCCCTCACTGTTCTTGTGATAGTGTGTGATTCTCACAAGATCTGATGGTTTAAAAATGTGGCACTTCCCCTCTTTCTCTCCCTCTCCTACTGCCATGTAAGATGTACCTTGCTTCCTCTTTACCTTCTGCCATGATTGTAAGTTTCCTGAGGCCTCCCTAGTCATATGGAACGGTGAGTCACTTAAACTTTTTTTCTGTGTAAATTACCCAGTCTCAGGTAGTTTTTTATAGCAGCAGTTATTATCTCCTCCCTCCCCTCTGTGTTTCCTTTCTTTGCTTTTAGAGAGTTATGTATAAGTTTATACACATGTGTGTGTGTTTCAATCCATAGGGCCATTTATGTTGGAAGAACATAACCTACCCTCTTGACTACTGAAAAATGCAGTATCATTTAGTTTCTGCTGGAAAACAATTAGCAACAAGGAGACTACTGTTTTGCAAAGCTGTATATTTCCTTCCTGAGAAGCTCAGGCTATTAGAAGTCATATGATGCAATGACGAAAAACCGGTGTACTGAAGTTCAGCTGTTTCTCTTTCAATAGCCCTTCAGGTATTGGGAGACAGAGTCCAGCGAGCAGTTGGGAAAACTAACTTGTGTTATTCCCTTGCCCACATATTTTCAGTGTTTGTGCTCTCAAGAATGATCATGACAGGAAAGCAAATAACAATCTCAGGGAGAATTCAGAAACACAAACTGTATATTTACAAAGGGCTGATAGAAATCAAATGCAGTAGCCCCTCTGCAGAAGGATTCAAGAAAGTCAGCAAAGATCACTATGCGATTACTGGGAGATGTAGAAATCTCCTTCCTGCGGAGGGGTGGAGAGAGAGAGAATGTGCAAGAAAAATACTCATGCCTCTCAGAATTTGTTCATTTGTTTAATCAAACCCTGGTTGTTTTTGTTTGTTTGTTTTTTTGTTTTCTTTAATTTCCTTCCTTTTTTTCTTTTTCTTTTATTTTCTTTCTATTTTATTTTTTATTTTTATATTTTGGTCACGGTTAGATTTTCCTACAAATGCTTTATTAAAATGCAAATGTTTCAAGTCTCTCTTGCTATTTTGATAGAAAATAAAATAGTCAATTTTCCAACTTTATCTCATCTAAATTGGATACATTTATTATTTTCATAATGGAAAAAGGCCACTCATTCATTTTCAGGTAGTGTGTATATTTTTATAAGGTACAAATAGAGTTTTTATTTAAGTGTCTGGCAACACTTGCCATTTTTTATGCTAGAAATGACAGTGTGTTGTTCTGTGTTCTGAAGTCCCAGGATTGAACTCTAATTTATCAACATGACATCTATGTGAGGGAGCTTCACACCCAACCCCCACCTTATAAAAAATAGGTAAGATGGTCCAGTAATATTTTATGAGGATTCTGGAGGAGCTACCATTTCTCACTCAAGTGTCTTATTTCAAAATATTAACCCTAATTTATGAATGACCATATCCAACCTCACAACAACCCTATGGCAGAGGTATCCTCATTGCCGTTTCACAGATTAGAAACTTAAGCTTACAGAGGCCCAGTGTAACACAGAGCCTGCTTAAAATAAATAATATATTCAGAAACATTCAGAATGTCAACCTCGTGAACTGGGAGTTAGCACTGAAACGATTGCTAAGTACCTCATTAACGATAAGAAGCCAGTCTGTGAGTTTCAGGCAGGCAACCTCAGAATACCTGTATAGAAAGGGCAAGGGAGGCCGGGTGCGGTGGCTCACGCCTGTAATCCCAGCACTTTGGGACACCGGGCAGGCAGATCATGAGGTCAAGAGATTGAGACCATCCTGGCCAACATGGTGAAATCCCATCTCTACTAAGAATACAAAAATTAGCTGGGCATGGTGGCAGGCACCTGTAGTCCCAGCTACTCGGGAGACTGAGGCAGGAGAATCGCTTGAACCTGGGAGGTGGAGGTTGCACTGAGCCAAGATCGTGCCACTGCACTCCAGCCTGGTGACAGAGTGAGACTCTATCTCAAAAAAACAAAACAAAAAAAGAAATAAAGAAAAAAGAAATGGCAAGGGAGTATGGGTGGGAGGTATGGGTGATGGGTATTTGTGGAAGGCTTGCCATGTGCTGCCCCTTGCACCTGATCTATCTTACAGAGACTGAGTCCTCTGAGGGAAGCATAATCATGTTCATTTATGGAAATGAAAGAACTGGGCCTCTAGAGAATAGGTCACTTGTCCCATTTCACATTACTATTGCAAATATTGAGAAAGAACCAGGATTTGGCATGCGGTATTTCTTCCACCAAAGGGAAATGTTAGGAAAGGTGAATGAATGTGTGAGACAATGTTTTCACCCAGAACCAATCTCTATATTACATCAGTGAAACTCATCCATCAAAAACTCAAGCTCTTCCTTCTTTTAGGTGGAAATAATTACTATCTATTCTTGCAGCAAGCCTATTAAAATTGAGAAACACTTTGCTTCAATGATTCCACAATCACTTTTGATTGAATGACTTATTTTTTGATTCATTCATTCATCAAACACACAGCCTTGTGAGCTATGTACTTGACATAGAGATAAATAAAGCAAAAAACTTTTGCTCTAAAGGAAGGCCTTGTCTCCTCAGGGATAGAAGATGTTAAAATAGTTAGAAAGCACTGGGATAATAATAAAGTTATCTGGGAGGAAGAAGAGGAGAGGGATATTTGGCTGAATAAAAAAAAAGTTAGAAAAAAGTCCTGTAGAATAATTTTCAAAATGGATTTTAGAATTAACTTATAACATTATCTAATGCCTAATATATGCAAAAATGTATGAGTGGAAAAAATGTGAAGAAATTTAATAATATGAGTTGTTTCATCTATTGAGCCCTACTCTATGCCAGGATATTTACATGTATTTATTTCTCATCCAAGGTCACATTTATCAATCTTGTTTAGAAACAAAAAAGATTAAACAAAGCCTCTGAAGTTCAATTATTTTTATACTTTAGTAAATAGCAGATTTGGGATTCACACTCACTTTCTCCAGGCGCTATGACTATGACCCTTCTACTTTTTCACACTACGGCCCCTGAAACCCCTGAATTGAAGGGATTTGCACGCCAGTTGGAAAGATAAGGTTTACAGACAAACAACAGCTAATAGTGAGATAGCAAGTCAAAATTAATGACAAACCTCAAATATATGTTATATATTATAAATGTATTACATATAATACATATTATATATACACATACGTTATACAACACACAAATAGAGTTGGAAAAGGAAGTCATTCCCGTGGACTATGAAGAATCCACGAAAAAGCTAAAAATTGAGGTCAGCATCAAAAGACAGTAGAAGAAAATAATACTGCCTTCCATACCCTCCCCTAGTGTCCAACTCCTACAGGGTCAGGAGATCTTTGGGGCTAAGCTTTCCTGACTCTATAGGGGTTGTGGGCTCAGCTGAAAAGTGTGAACACTGCAAATATTAGTCATCCTTAGGAAGGAAGATAGTGGGATAGTATATTCACTTATTTGTTTTATTATTATTATTGCTATATAATTAATTACTGCAAACTTAGTGGCTTAAAATGACACACATTGCTGGGTGCAGTGGCTCACACCTGTAACCCTAGAGCTTTGAAAGGCTGAGGTGTGAGGACTGCTTGAGGCCAGGAGTTTGAGACCAGACTGAGCAGCATAGCACTACCCCATTTCTACAAAATTTTTAAAAATTAGCTGGGCCTAGTGGCATACTCAGTTATTCGGGAGACTGAGGCAGGAGGATTACTTGGGCTCAGGAGTCTGGGACTGCAGTGAGCTATGATTGCACCACTGGACTCCATCTGGGTAAGAGAGTGAGACCTTATTTCAAAAACAAAACACAAAAAATCCCCACATATTTACTACATCATAGTTTCCATGGTTTAGGATTCTGAGCACGGATGAGATGATTCCTCTACTCAGGATCTCAAGCTGTCCTCCAGGCTGTGATCACGTCTGAGCTGCGAGGTTCTCTTCCCAACTCACTGGTTGTGGGCAGAATTCACTTCCGTGTGGTGGTGAATCCAGGCAAGCAACTCCTAGAGGCCACCCATGGTTCCCTGCCATGAGGCCCTCTTCTCATTCTGGAAAATTGCTTCTTGAGGGCGGGGAGGAGAGCATCTCTGCTGCTTCTTGTCTTTGAACTTTAAATCTTCTTCTTCTAGGGGACCCATCTAAGTGGGTAAGGCCCGCCCAAGATCATGTCTCCATTGATCCTTAAAGTCAATCAATCAGGGACCTTCATTACATTTGCAAAATTAATTCACCTTTGGCATATCCCATAACCTAATCACAGGGAGGATATTCCATCATAGTTGTAGGCCCTGCCACACTAAAAGGGGAGAATTTATACAGGGGGGCAAATCTTAGACCCATCTTAGAATTCTGTCTACCACAGATAGGATAAAGGAACTGAGTTTATTTATTGAGAGCCTGTTGTTCCTGGTACTGGGGATATAAAAATACACAAAACAAATGCAGTCTTGCCTCATAAGGCCACAAGACACTGTTATGAGCTAATTTGAGCCTTCCCCATCCCAAAATTTATATGTGGAAGTCCTAACCCCCAGTACCTCAGAATGTGGTCATATTTAGAGACAGGGCCTTTAAAGAGGTGATTAAATTAAAATGAGACCATTAGGATGGGCCGTAAGCCATTCTGACTGGTGTTCTTTTAAGAAGCAGAATTTGAACATGGAAAGAGACACCAGGGATGTGTGTGCAGAGGAAAGATCACATAAGGACATAGCGAGGAAGCCAAGGAGAGAGGTCTCAGGAGAAATTCATCCTGCTGATGCCTTGTTCTTGGACTTCTAGCCTCCAGAAGTGAGAGAAAACAGATTTCTGTTGTCTAAGCCACCCTGTCTATGGTATTTTGTTATGGCAGCCCCAGCAACCTAATATAGAAGTCTTCCTGGGAAACCAAACAATCAAACAAATAAGGAATGTGACAGCTTCCTGACAGTGCAGTGCTACATTGGAAAGTAAAGCGGGGTCAGAGATAAATGCTATTTTAGTTGAGTTGTTTAGAAAAAGGATGGCAGATCTAAAAATAAAAGGAACTCCTTCCTTCCTAGATCCCAGCCTTTTGGGTCTGGACTCTTGGAGAGAGCCCCAGAGTGACCTGGCTGATGGGAGGATATTCCTTTTCACAGGGAGGCAGAAGCCCCCTGGGAAGGACCCAGGAGACAGGTAATTAGGGATGGTCCTCTATCTAGGTCAGGAGGAATATGGGATGGGTCTGTGGATTCTATTACCTGAAATACATGTTACTCTGGTTTCAATTTCACTCAGCCTTTCCATCCTCTCTAATGTTCTATCCTGGTCCTTGCTGTGCTATAGGGATGGAGGGTAATATTGGGGTTCAGTCTAGATCAGTATAGTGGTGGCAATTTTGAAATGTAAAGTCTTTATGGGGAAGGCGAACCTAGAGATTGCAAATTCTAGCTGTTCTTGCACCATGGAAATGTTCTCTCCCCTTTCTTCTTTTGGAGAAAGAGGTCATTAATTTAAGTTGATTCTTGATACACTCAAAGAAAATGGAATATTTGCAGAGAATGGTGTGAGCAAAAGAATGACATAAGCACACAAAGTACCCTAGTCCGGTGGTAAATCCAGAAGTCTCGCTGGGGAATGTAACACAAATAGGTGATTCCAGAAAGATAGGCTGAGGCTGGACTGAGCACAGGCTCATATGGAATGAGCTACTACATACAGTGATCTGCCTTGTTCATTTTTTTCCATATCCACTTTATTTCGGTATAGATCATCTACCACAAAATTCACCTTTTTAAAGTATACAATTCGGTGGTTTGTAGGATACATCCAGAGTTGCGTGTATAACCATTACCACAATTCATTACCTTGATGCTGGCTGAAGACAAACAAGATCAAGAAGGATTTGGAAAAAATTTCAGAAAACATGCCAGTAATTCAAGAAAAGATGGAAGATGTGTAGTGAGAGTTCTTTGAGGAAATTCAGGAATCATACTAATAAAGGGATGGTTAGAGTTCAGAAGAAAAATGTGCACGATTTCATGCTACCTTTAAATTCTTATCACTTTGGATGCTGTCTTCGAGACACAAAATCTAGCATGGTGCCTGGTACATTATTTGAGTTCATTAAATATTTGTTAAATGAATGAATGAATTGTTCATCCACTAGCCAGGGAATCAAACCTCGTTGTATGTTTCTGAGTGTTTTCAAAATGTAATTAATTTGAAGATACCTTGGAACTGCTGTCTCTCTACTCTCACTATGCACCCTGGGGAAACTGCTATTGGCAACTGCATTTTATTTTGGAGACTTATTTTTTCCCCACTACACATATTAATTTTGTAATAATGGTTTATGTTTTTTTCTTATTAATTTAAAACCTCCTGTGGTAGGCATTTTGTCTGAGAGACTGTTTCACAATGCCGTGATTTTTTCTCCCACATTTTCCTCCATGTACGTGTTATGCATGTCACCCTACCTTCCTTTATTTTCAGACCTATGCCTTTGAATATGGACATCACACAAGCTAGTATTGAATTTTGATGTTTCTTTTCTGGGATCTCCTAGCTATTCTTAGTTTAGTGTCTCTGTTTAGTGTCCCTTTACTCACAGATATAGAATTCCATGTAAGTCTTCATAGATTTATTTGAACTTATTGTCAATACATTTTGTCTTGGATTAAATGCTCACACAGATGAGACTTAACTGTTGAGTTTAGTTCAATTGTGGAATGAAACAGACACTGTTAGTTGCAAATCCAACATCTATTTCCACCTATCTCTCTTCAGTTACAGAGGGAAGGCTTAACTATTGGCTCAGGGGAGGATTATTTTAATATTCTTATTGGAGAGAAATAAAGAAGTGAAAGCTCCTGTTGCCACTGGAAGCCATATTGTGATGAGGAAGAAAATTGTCCTTAGGATGAAATTGACCCTGAGCACAGCCATGGAAGGAATCTAGGCCCTTTTGATATCAGTAAGTGGTTTATCACACTAGGCTAGGTATCTGTGCTAATTCTCCACTTTTTATTTTGTGGGAAAAAAAAAACAATTTTAAAAAATAACTTAATTTTCATTATTTAGGTTAGAAAGTAAGAAAATGAACATAGAAGCCAAATGAAAGATCACTGAAGGTCACAAACTATGTGAGCAACAAAATAAATAATGTAATATTGGATCATAATGAAAGTACAAAACACACAGCCACGAGTCCATATTGCTATAAATAAATGATTGTGTAAGTCCACAAATAGGGGAGGAGGGAAGATAAATTTCCAAATAATAGGCAAAAGAATTCCAAATACTTTATGTAGATACTGCCTCCCTCAGAGAGGTGGGCCATAACTCCCACCCCTTAGGTGTGTTGTGGGTTGCACACTTCTTACTAAAAGGGCAGAGGGGAGAGGAACTTTATTGTGGAGACACATGACAATCAATACCTCAGCGCTGGGATCAAGTTGAACATGTTCCCTTGATACAACATCATGAGAATGACGTTTTATCTCTGTGGTCTTCCCCCACCCCTCAAATATAACCCCATTATAACCCTAAGGAAAAACACCAAACAAACCCAAATTGTACAGAGCTAATTACCAGTACTGCTCAACATTCTCAAGATCATCAAAAACAAGGTACGTTTGAGAAACTGTCACAGGGAGACATAACAACTCAACGTAATGTGGTTTCCTAGAAGGGACCTTGAAGAAATTAAAGACATTAAAAAATCCAAATGAAGTTTAGTTAACAGCAATGTATCAACAGACATACGTAGAATGTTTCCATATGCATATGTTTCATTAGTTGGGACCAATCTATCATGTTAATGTAAGATGTAAACAATAGGGAAACAGGTGTAGGGATATACAGGAACCTTCTGTACTTTCTCTGAAACTTTTTTTTGTAAATCTAAAACTGCTCTAAAATTTAAAGTAAAAACAGTGTGCATTTTCTATATATTCTTAAAGGTGACTTTTTGATGAACAGTAGTTTTTATTTTTCATGCAATCAAACTTATCAATCCTTTTTGCTGTCATTAATAATTTTTTTTCTCCTTTTCAGTAAACTTGTCAGCTTATCCTTCCTCAGTATCATGAAGATATCCTCCTATTTCTAGAAGTTTTATCTTATTGATTTTCATATTGAGGTAAATTATATGCCTGAAATTAACTTTTGTGTATGATACAAAGTTGGGAATGGTCTTATTTTTTATTTTCTATACTTTTTGAAATACAGCTTTTTGCCCACTTTGTGCAGGGCCAATGATAAGTTTCTTTGTATGGAATGTTTTTATGTGTCTAAAGATCTAAGGGACTAGGTCTCAAGTGGCCCCCTCATCACCCTACCCAGTCACTAGGCAATCTAGAAAGGCCATTCACCCATTGTTAGCAAGTGAACATGCGATGAAGTCAGTTCTTATGTAGACTCACGCAGCGTCCACCTACTCTGTTAAATGCAGTTCCTGTCCCTGGAAAGAGATATAAGCCAGTACAATTGTTCAGGCCTTTCTTTAATATCTCCCTTTCCTCTTAAGAAACAAAAAATAAATCTCCATAAATTTTCAAAGCTTTCCATTATATGCCCTCCACCTATCTGTCTCATCTCCCATATCACAGTTCTTACTGCAATCCCTACTGACCTTCTACCCATTCCTCAAGGACACCACTCCAGTAATTTCAAACATGAATTTCTTCCCCCAGAAAATCATACCCTTCTGTGACTTTCCTGTCTTGGATATTTCCTGCCCCATCTTTTCCCTGGCTAATTCTTATTCTTGCCTCAAATTTCAGAATAAATAATCCCTCTTTAGAAAAGACTACCATAATCCATCAAAATCACATCATTCCCCATTATAATTTAATTTTCAGTCCTCATTACAATTATATTTGGTTAATTTTTGCATACTTATCAGGTGAGTTTTTTTCTCCCAATACACTGAGAGTTTCACAAAATATCTGGTTCAGCAACATTTCCAAAATCTACCATAGAATCGGGTACATAGCATATTCTTTAAAAATATTTTTTTTAAAAAATGGGGTGAAAAACTTATTTAAACCGTTGTTACTGAAATTTATTTTAAGAAATTAACTCTAAAAAGAATCATTACAAAACCTCTTTAGGGTAAAGAAATGCCTAGAATAGAAACTAAATCCCTGAGGGCATAAGCACTTTGAAGCTAGGGAGCATTAGAGGTGGATAAACTCTGAATTACACACTGACAGAGATGAGGATGGAGACAGAACACAAATGAGGAGAAGATAGGAAGAGCAAGGCTGGGAAGCAGAAGATAGCAGATTTTTCTAAGGACCTAGAGTGTCTAACAATTCCTCTTCTTCCCCTCTCCACCCCCTCCTCCTTGATATACCTTTAATTTAACATCGTCCATTCACATTGATGCTTCCACCTGACTCTCCAGCCTACAGTTTGGTGCAGTGGTATGGCAATGCCTGCAGAACTGAAAATCAGAGAACAGGTCCGTGCTCCACTCCCAGCTGAGGCCAAGGCTGAGCTGAGCAAGGCTACCTGGGACAAAGCCATGGCTCTCGGCTGCCCTACTTCTTCGCCAGTGGAATCAAAAACTGGTATACGTGTCATGCAACACCCCTGGAAATTCACTGACCTCCTGGAGAGGAGAGGATGTTGGCTATTCAGAAACAGTGAAAGGGGAGAATGAACCCATCACATCTATATATGAGGGGGCAGGGAGGCCCACGAACTCTCCTTTAAGGCCCTCCATCACATAAGCACTTCCCTGATGCTCCTCTTCTTCTGACCTAGTGACTGCCAAGCCCTCCTGCACATCCTGCCCTGTTTCTATCCCACTTCAGGGCCTCAGATCTTTCCCTGTGCCCAAAGTGCTCATCCTAGGGAACTCCTTAGGGTTGGCTCCTCATCATTCCAGGCCTAGGTCATTGCTGACACTGGCCAGGCTTGAGTGCCACATTTAAAAGTGGCCCTCACCCCACAAGCACAGCTTGTCGTCTTACCCTGCTCTGTTGCCTTCATGCATTTGGCACTATCTGATATTATCTATTTTAAGTACTCATTTCCTCATGTATAACATGTAATAGGCTTGAGGACAGATGCTTTTTACTATCTTCTTCCCTGTGGTATGCCCAGAATCCAGATAAGTAACTAGTAAGCAGTAGGTTCTCTCTGAGTAATTGTTGAATAAATGGAATGATCTTGGTTACAAATGAATAACTGAGTACACAAATGAGGTGAGAAGAAACCTACTAATAAGTAATTGGAATTACCTGACCCAGCCATCCCATTACTGGGTATATACCCAAAGGACTATAAATCATGCTGCTATAAAGACACATGCACACGTATGTTTATTGCGGCACTATTCACAATAGCAAAGACTTGGAACCAACCCAAATGTCCAACAATGATAGACTGGATTAAGAAAATGTGGCACATATACACCATGGAATACTATGCAGCCATAAAAAATGATGAGTTCATGTCCTTTGTAGGGACGTGGATGAAATTGGAAATCATCATTCTCAGTAACCTATCGCAAGGACAAAAAACCAAACACCGCATGTTCTCACTCATAGGTGGGAATTGAACAATGAGAACACATGGACACAGGGAGGGGAACATCACACTCTGGGGACTGTTGTGGGGTGGGGGGAGGGGGGAGGGATAGCATTAGGAGATATACCTAATGTAAATGACGAGTTAATGGGTGCAGCACACCAGCATGGCACATGTATACATATGTAACTAACCTGCACATTGTGCACATGTACCCTAAAACTCAAAGTATAATAATAATAAAATAAAATAAAATAAATAAAAAAACAAAACACATAGGAAATGGAATATGAGGGAATAACACATGTGTTTTTCATCCTTTCTGATCTTCCTTTTCTGTTTCTCAGTTTGTTTCTGCTTTTAGGCACAGGTGCCTAGACTCTAGGCAAACTGGACTGCCCCCCTGAGCACTGAGCAGCAGCCCTACCTGTGTGTGTGTGTGTGTGTGTGTGTGTGCGCGCATGCATGTGTATCTTCCGGTCTGGCAGCCAAAATGTTCTTGACAGGTCCCCTGGATCGCTCTGGAGAATCCAGGCACATCCAGGTCAGTAAGTGAGGGCCCATGGTTTGTGAGTGGAGCATCATTTATGTGTCTATGCTGAGAGCGGGACGCATGTTTTTCACAGCCTGGGATAGCTTGAGACAGTCTGCAGAGGTAAGGCAGTCAGCATCCGCATTCTGTCAACTCTGTGAAAATGGAAGCTCTACATGGATGCAGTCATATTATTTTCAGAGTTGAAAAGTGTCACACTGGAAAGGTTTAATACAGTTGTCACGACAGGAGTAGCATGAAAGACTCAGATGTCAGCCTCATATGTATTAAGTGAAGTCTCTCATGTTATTAAAAGGGAAATTATATTTGATTTTAATATCAATTCTTTAAAGCATGTGGTTATTTAGTTATGATATACACAAAGATTTTACTTTTTCCTTTGATGACAGTGCATTTAAAACCTTCTACTTCACTAATTAAAGAACACCAGGCCATGAAAATGATGGAATCTTATTTTGACAGAGTTTTGCCTGTTTTATAAGAAACAAAATTTGCACCTCAAAATAAACATATCATTAAGCATATTCTCTTGCTTTTAAATTTTAATTTGGGAAAATGTACAGGAAAAACCAACAGAATAAGGAAGTCTCTCAATATTTTTAAGTATTTTATCTTGCTATATTATGCCTCCACTCGTAACTATTACTCAAGGAAGGTATTTTTAAGAGACATATTTTCTTGACCGTGTCTTCTTAATGTCAATATTATATTTTGCTACCATCGAGCAGCATGTAGTTTGAAGACGACTGTAGTAATTTTATTGAACATCGCAATTTTATGTAATATTCATCCTTTTCAATAATGACACATAAAAATATAGATCCAGAGGGTTGCTCAATTGTTTATAATTCTAATTAATGAGAAATCTTGTCACAGATTTTGCAGAGCTATTAAAACTTTATAGGAAAAAAGAAAGTTTGGGGAGAAAAATTTACAAAATGAAAAAGCAGCCCAGGACATACAATGTTTACATAATACAAATTTCTGAAAAAGAGAACAGAATATGGATGGGAGAAAATTATTTAAAAAAAAAAAAATCAGCTGGGCGTGCTGGCCCATGCCTGTAATCGCAGTACTTTGAGAGGCCGAGGCAGGCGGATCTCAAGGTCAGGAGTTCGAGACCAGCCTCGCCAATATGGTGAAACTCTGTCTCTACTAAAAATACAAAAATTAGCCAGGCATGGTTTAGGCACCTGTAGTCCCAGCTACTCGGGAGTCTGAGGCAAAAGAATCGCTTGAACCCGGGAAGCAGAGGTTGCAGTGAGCTGAGATCGCGCCACTGCACTCCATCCTGGGCGACAAAGTAAGACTCTGTCTAAAAAAAAAAAAAAAAAAAATTCAAGAAAATTACTCAGCCATTGAGAATGTGGAATCTAGCCCAGGGGTCAGCAAACATCCTGTAAAGAACCCAATAGAAAACAGTTCAGGCTTTACCAGCCACGTTCCCTTTTCTGTCTATGTCACAATGACTCAACTCTGCTGTTAAAGCACATCCATAGATACAGGCAACCCATCAGTGAAGGAGACCAGCTGTATACCAATAACATTTTATTTATGGACACTGAACTTTGGATGTCATGCAATGTTCACATGTCACAAAATCTTCTGTTTCTTCTCAGCCTCTTCTTGCTCCTCTTCTTCTTTCTTCCCATTTAAAAAATGTAAAAACATTGTTAGATTGTGAGCCAATCAGAAAATCAGGTTATGATCCAGATTTCCCCCATGGACTATAGTTTCTTGACCCCAGATCAAACCTCTAAGTGTCCACTGATGGATCAGCACAATGGATGGGAACACCGACCCCATGACCCTCCCCTGTGAGACCTCAGGCACTAGGGACAAAGGGAGGGTATTACAAGTACTGGCTACATTTATGTGTAACTGGAATAAAGAATTCCAACATAAACAAGGAGAAATAAGAGTCTAGAAAAGTTGCTATTAATCAAACAATCCAACATGTACCTGAAATAGATAATATTGGAGTGTAAGAATTCTTATTGAAGTTTCTAATTATTCATAACAGAATTTTTATTCTTTTTCTATTTTTTAAAATTTTTCTTTAACTTTTGGGATATACGGGCAGAATGTGCAGGTTTGTTACATAGGTATACATGTGCCATGGTGGTTTGCTGCACCCGTCAACCTGTCATCTAGGTTTTAAGCCCCATATGCATTAGGTACTTGTCCTAATGCTCTCCCTCCCCTTGCCCCCCACCCCCCAACAGGCCCCGGTGTGTGATGATCCCCTCCCTGTGTCCATGTGTTCTGACTGTTCAATTCCGACTTATGAGTGAGAACATGGGGTGTTCGGTTTTCCATAACAGAATTTTTAAATTTTAATTTTGTTTGTGTGTGTATGTTTTACCTCAACAAATTGATTCTAACATTTATATACAAGTGTAGGGCAAAAATAGGCAATTCAGTTTTGAGTAAGAAGAGCAAGATATGCAGAGGCAATAAATCAGCATAATTTCTAATAATTGAGAGCCTGAATATACAGATGGACAATGGCCAGAACATATATAACAAAAGAACTCTGACCCACAGTCTGCAGCAGCAAGGCCAGGACACCAACCCCTTATCTACAGGAAACAGCCCCCAGGAATCCAGCCTGTTATCTGTAAGCCAGACTTACGGGAAATCAGACCAAGGTCTCTAGCAACCAGTCCCAGAAGCCAAATAGTAATTCCTGTAACAAAATAGCTAAGATTTAATTAAACTCTGAAAGCTTCCCTAATGCTTTTTTACCTGCTTCCAACTTAGGACCAACCAGAAAAAAACAAATATACTCCTCTAACCAATCCCATAAGATACCCACTTTTGGTGAGTCTTCCTCCAGCTTCCCATGCCAACAGCCTCCATCAGGGCACACTGAAGCCTTCCTTCTGTCCACTACAAAGCTCTCCCACTCCTTGTCTGCCTTAGCATCTTAGCCAAAAGGCAAGTGATGGTGGCTGACTCCCGTGATACAGCAAACTCTGAACTGCTTCTGCCTGTTCTTATTTGGTCAATCTTCATTTATTTCCAATGATGAAAATTTGGAGTTACATCATTGATAAAGTATGATAAAGTAATTTGTGAATAAATTGTGATAAACCCCATACAATGGGAATTAGCTGACGGAAATGAGTTCTATGGTAATTGCCACCCAGTAAGACAAACGTACTATTTTTGAACAAATTTTCCTTAGAATACTTTTGGAAAGAGAAGAAATCATGGTATTTGCAAGAGGTTTCATTGCCCCACTCCAACCATGGCCATTGTGGACATGCCAAGTCCACAAGCACACAGCTAACCAGGCAGCTGTTTCTCACTGGGATGATTCTAAGCCCAGCTGTGGGCTCTACATTCTGTCCCTACCTCCCACTTCATCACAGTGTTTAGAGAGAAGAAAATATATAACGTGAATAATCAGGAAGTCTGCCAAAGTGTTTCTTCCATTCCACAGCCAGATATCCCATGATGCCCAAAGTCCAAAGCTCATGAATTGTGACAGCTCGTGGCTTGATATTGCTGCATGGAAACAAGCAGGAGGCAAGGAAAAGAGGGAGGAGGGAGTTGTGTTGACAGATTAAATGCAGGACACTCAGTTAAATCTGAATTTTAGATACATAACAAAGCCATTTTAGTATATCCCAAATATTACATGAAACATAGTTATAACAAAAATTATCATTTGTGAATCTGAAATTTAAATCTAACCGAGTGTCCTGTACTTGTATTTACTAAATATGGCAACCCTAGGGGCAAGGGTAACACATGTTTTTCTAGTCCTTTTATGGAATACTTACAACCAGTGTTTTTTGTTGTTTTGTATTTTAGAGACATCTTGCTCTATTGCACAGGCTGGAGTACGGTGGCTCAATCATAGTTCACTGCAGCCACAAACTCCTGAGCTCACCTCCCACCTCAGCCTCCCAAGTTGTTAGGACTACTTGCACACACCACTTTACCTAGCTAATTTTTAATTTTCTTTTTTGGAGAGCCAGGATCTTGCTATGTTGCCTGGGCTGGTCTTAAACTCCAGGGCTCATGTGATCCTCTAACCTCGGCCTCCCAAAACACTGGGATTGCAAGTGTGAGCCACTGCAACTGGCTCACACAACCAGTATTGATATTCTCCCCATGGGTTACTTAGAGCTGTGCCATTTAATTTCCAACTGTTTGCTTTTTTGAGATATCTTATTTTATTACCTTTAATAGAAGGCTAAGGGCCCTTCAATATTCTTTCAAATTAAGTACTTCTATAAAGTAAAAATATAAAATGAAATCAACAAATATTTAATGGCTATCTGCTGTTTTATAGAGTGCAGAATAAGACAGTAAAGAAAGATACAAGGTTGGAGTTCTGGAGACTGTAATTGTGGAGCCACATGTATAGGACTCAAGGTCACAAAGATAGCAAAGGCAGCAAGGAGCATCAAAAGCAGGCAGAACCCAGATGGGAGTTAAGCCTTGAAAGAGGAGAACCACACTCACTCATGCTTATAGCATACACCACAGTCCCTAAGGCAGGGAACAACCAAAACTCACGAAGAATGCCATTCTTGTTGCCTTGAAGTGTCAGAAGACAGCGTTCAAGGCTACTAGAGTAATAGGAAATTGAGAGAAAAATCCTTGAAAAGGGGAAGCCCCAACTATTCTCAGATCCCCTTGGGACACCTGCACTATGCATGTACAGAGAAAACTCCAAGGACCCCCAGGAAAGCAAGAGTTTCCACATAACGGAGAAAGTTTTTAGTCTAAATCCTGCCAAGTCAGAGGGTCCTGACAAGTCAGAGGGTCTTGGTAAATCCTTTCTGCTTTCTACCAACCTGCTCCATCGAAGTACATAAAACCACGCCTCTGTAAGTTCAAAGTGTTCAGCCAGTCATGTAATGAAATGGCATCTTTAAAGTTTGAAAGAAAAAAAAACTTTAGAATTCTATGTCTACAGAATTAGCCTTCAAAAATCAGGGCAAAATAAAAGCACTTTCACATAAATGAAGAATGAGAGACACCAGCAGACCAATGATCAATTATTCAGGAAGGCATAACAATTGCAAATTCATATGTACCTCATTACAGAGCCTCAAGATACATGAAGCAAGAACTGACTAAATGGCGAAATAGATAAATTATCTATCACAACTGGAGATTTTTACCCCCCCTCCCTGCAATTGATTTAGCTATTGTCCAAAAATCAGTAAATACGTAAAAGATTTTAACAACAGTACAACTCAATTAGGCCTGACAATTACACAGCACTACACTTAATGGCCTCAGAATACATATTCTTTTCTCAAATGCACATAAAATGTTCACAAAGATAGACCATATGCTGAGCCATAAAACAAGTCTCAATACATGAAAAATATTTGAAATCTCACAAAGCCTGTTATTTGAACACAAATAAATTAAATTAAACATTAACCTTCTAAGTTATCAAGAAGTATTGCAAATTAATTGGCATACCACTATGTACTCCTGGCTTAAATAAGAAATCACAAGGGAAATTAGAAAATATTCTAAACTGAATATCAATGGAAACACCACATAAAAATATTTGTGAGATGCAATGAGCAGCCGAAACCTAGCCTAGGGAAGAAAAAAAAAAGCTTGAAATACTATAATATAGTAGAAAAGGAGAAAATATTTAAAGCAGTTAAGATTGCTTCTCAACATCATCAGTATTGAAGGACATGAAATACACAACTATAATGAGATACCATTTAAAACCACTAGTATGACTCAAAACAATTGACAACTGATAGTATCAAATGCGGGTGAGAAAATGAAGTAGCCAGAACTATCATGCACTGCTAGGTAGGAATGTTTAATAGCACTACTACACTTTCAAAATCTGTTTGGCAATTTCTTATAAACACCCACCCTATGACCCTGCAATTTCACAATTTGGCACAAAAACAATTGGAACAAAAGCAAGAATTAACAAATGGGATCCAATCAAACTAAAGAGCTTCTGCACAGCAGAAGAAACTATCATCTGAGTGAACAGGCAACCTACAGCATAGGAGAAAATTTTTGCAAGCTACCCATCTGACAAAGGTCTATACTCAGAATCTAGAAGGAACTTAGACAAATTTACAACACAAAAACAACCCCATCAAAAAGTGGGCAAAGGATATGAATGGACGCTTCTCAAAAGAAGACATTTATGCGGCCAACAAACATACGAAAAAAAGCTCATCATCACTGGTCATTAGAGAAATGCAAATCAAAACCACAATGAGATACCATCTCACACTAGTTAGAATGGTGATTATTAAAAAGTTAGGAAACAACAAATGCTGGCAAGGCTGTGGAGAAATAAGAACACTTTTACACTGTTGGTCGGAGTGTAAATTAGTTCAACCATTGTGGAAGACAGTGTGGCAATTCCTCAAGGTTTTATAACTAGAATACCATTTGACCCAGGAATCCCATTACTGGGTATACACCCAAAGGATTATAAATCATTCTACTATAAAGACACATGCACATGCATGTCTATTGCAGCACTATTTATAACAGCAAAAACAGATCCAACCCAAATGCCCATCAATGATAGACTGGATAAAGAAAATGTGGTACATATACACCATGAAATACTATGCAGCCATAAAAAAGAATGAGTTCATGTCCTTTGGAAGGACATGGATAAAGTTGGAAGTCATCATTGTTAGCAAACTAACACAGGAATAGAACACCAAATACTGCATGTTCTTACTCATAAGTGGGAGTTGAACAATGAGAACACATGGACACAGGGGGCACATCATACACCAGGGCCTGTTGAGGGCTGAGGGGCAAGGGGAGAGAGAGCATTAGGACAAATACCTAATGCATGCGGGGCTTAAAACCTAGATGATGGGTTGATAGGTGCAGCAAACCACAATGGCACATGTATACCTATGTAACAAACCTGCACATTCTGCACATGTATCCCAGAACTTAGAGTAAAATAAAAAATAATAATAATTTTAAAAATTTAAGAGAGGTAAATAAAAGCACATGTCTACAAAAATATGTGTACAAGAATGTTAATACTCAATTCATAATACTCAAAGTGGAAAACACCAATTGTTTATCAATAGGACAATGGATAAAAAAATTGTAGCATATAATGGAATAAAACTCAGAAATGGAAAAAGAATGAACTACAAATATAATACAACAACATGACTGAAGCTTGGAAATATCGCATTGAAATGTCAATAAAGAAATAAGCTAGGCACAAAAAATTATGGTGATAGAAATAAGAAGATGACTGCCTATAGGAGATTGGGATTTACTGTGGATGAGAAAACGCTGTATGTTGATGGAAATTCTCTATCTTGATCAGAGTGCTGCTGCCAGATCTAAAAAAGCCCAAAATGCCAGTAGATGCAGATTTACTTACTATAAACAATCCTTTGAAAGTCCCATAATTCAGATCTTCTGCATCCTCTTCTGAATAGACCATTTATTTAGGGCTCTACTCTGTCTTTTCTGCACATTCCATAATTCATTTCCTACCCTAGTCTCAATATCAAAACTGGAAAAGGCTTCTAGCATCAGCCACATCCTCCTCTATCACTCCACCAGAAATTTATTTTAAGTTTGCGGTGAAAGAAAATGATAGAAAGAATACTGCGTGGTGGCTAAGGGCATTTATTGACTATTGGTGTGCAGAATTATATAAGCGCCAGTAGATAAGAGGAAAAAATAATGAAGGTGATAAGATTAATGGTAGCTAACTTATTGAGCATTTAGTATACACCACATATTTTCTAAGCACTTTGCATAAGTATCATCACTTTATCCTCACAATAGAACTATAAGGTGATTATAATCATTTTTTCTAACATTAAAAATGTTCAATTAAGGTGCGAAAAGGATAGGTTGCCCAAGGATGCACAGCTAGCAAAAGTGAAAGTTGGGATTTACGACTTGGCATCTAGTTCTAGAGCCTACATTGTCAACTCACTATGCTCTCAGTCAATGTGGTCTGCTATGGCAGACACTGGCTAAAACAAGTGACTATTTAAGTTTGAATTAAATTAATTAAGGTTAAGTAAAGTTGAAAATTAATTTTTAGTTAAATGGGCACATTTCAAGTCCCAAATAGCCACATGTGGCAAGTAGCTACCATAATGGACAGCAGAAACACAGAACACCACCTAAGATATGAGCTAAGACCTCCTCCCAAACTAGAGGCTGATTTTTGCAGAGTATATCTAGTTTCATGGTGAAAGTAAGGTCACATTAATGCACTAATCCCAAATTGACTGATTATTATTTATTTGCTCCTCACACAGTGTCTCACTTCCTCTGCTAAGTGTCTTTCCAAATGATGCCTCTAGGTGGTACCTCCCACATGTTGCTGGTGGGCTAACATCCTAAAATTTCCACTGATCTTACAGAAAGCACCGTAACTCTTGGAGTTGCTAATGCTTGAGAGGATGGGTGGTAAGTCACATTTGGAGGTTTGGCAAGTGGGAAGTGGATGAAAAGTCCATGGTGTGCTCATTTCTTGTATCATTTTCTGTTCAAGTCATTCTAAAACAATATTCTTAAATTAAGTGCATTTGAGAATTAATATCTTTAACTTTTTGGAAATCTCCTTATATTTGATTTTGTCTTTGTTTCTCTCTCTTCTTCTTTATTTTCTTCTTTTGTAGATATGTGCTGTGTGTGTGTGTGTGTGTGTGTGTGTGTGTGTGTGTGTGTGTCCCAGCAAACATTAAATTGCTATTAACATTCTTGTACCCATATTGTTCTGAGAAACTATGAACATGTTTTTCTGAGAATCCTTACTTTCCTCTGACCACTATGCTGAAGTCCCTGGGTCACAGGCATAGCTACTACAATGTCCTTTGCATGATTTTGTTTGTTTGTTTGGATGACCCTCAGTTCCTATTGACCAAGATTTCTACTGGGTGTTTTCCACCAGCTCACTGGATGGGCATTGACTCAGCACAGGCTAAAGCTGAGAGGTCCCCTTATAATTGAACCTATAATGACACAATTTTGTCTACTCCCATTGGAAGAAAGCTTACCATGCTTCATTCTGAGCTGGCCTGATAGTGAGTCTCTGAATGAGACTAACCCATGTCCTGCAGGTCTGATAGTCAATACAGATGAGCATCCAGTGCCCCACTCCTGGCAATCATCTTGGAATGAAGAGAGAGTTTTACAAAGAGACAACCCCAGAGAGCTGTAGAGTCCACCCAACTACATATTTAGCTGATTAATGATTAGTATTTACAAGTGAGACTACCTGAGACCAGAATAAGATCCACTTGAATGGATTATAATAAAGAGTATCCCATGTAACACAGTGTCATGAATAGTTAATTTTCACAAGGTAGACGGGAAAATCTCATGATTCACAGGGCACTGGGTGGGGCAAACACAAGGGTCTGGCTTTACTCATGGGGAATAAATACCCCTAGACTGACCACTGCTCTAATCCTACCTTAAAAAATTGTCTAAGCAAAATGTAAAGAACCTAACTATTTCTAAATAACTTGAATCCATCCCAGAAAAAAAAATGCTGAGGATTAACAGGAACACAGAAATATCCAGTACTCAAGAAATTAAAGTCACAATATCTGGCATATATTCAAAGATTATTAGGCATAAAAAGCAAGAAAATATAACACATAATAAGGATAAAAATTAATCAGTTGGAACAAACAGTAAAACAGATGTTAAATTTAGCAGACAATGACATTTTAAGAAGTTACTATAATTGTATCATATATGTTTGTAAAGCTAAGTAGCTCAAAAAAAAAAAACCCCATGAGCTTAGAAACACAAAGTAAATTACACCAAAATTAAATTGCTTAAAACCCGTTATCTAGAAAAAAGTACTGAAACTATAACAGAAAAAGGCATGTTATGTACAAAGGAATAAAGATAAAGATAATAGTAGATTTCTTATTGGAAACTATAGAAACAAGAAAATACTGGAGTACTCTTGTTTAAATACTGAAAGAAAATACTTTCAGCTTAGAATTCTCTACTCAATGAAAACATCTTTTAAAGATATAGCTTACATTATTTATTCTTTTAGTTATTCTAATAGACCTTTTTTTCCAAAATTCAGTCTCTAGTATCCCACTGTAGAATTGCACCCCCTGCATTATTGTCCTGGTCCCTTCAACTGGAGAAAGGGACAGCAGTCATAACTTGTTGCCAATGATACGTCCTCATGGAATGCACAAGGAAGCGGAACAAGCACCCAGAAAGTAAAAAGTAATAAGAACTAATGTTAGTGTTCTTCACGTTCATAACTATGCAGTATGGACAAACGTGAAAGACCTCATGGAAACTCAGTGACAGTAAAACAATAAGATTCTCCCAGCTGCGTGGATCCTCAGTGGGCAGATGATTCATTTTGCAGCTGTGTTTCCCATGGCTGACAAGGGCTGACTGCAGTCCACAGGACTTGTCAGAGGCCAGTGGTCTGATAGGTGTTCTACACCAAGCAACAGAGGAAGAACAAAACTACATCTCTTCATGAAGACAAGTGCAAAAATAATATTAGTAAGAAAACACTGAGCAAATGGAGATGACTTGATTCGAGGAATGAAAAATCAAAGGGGCAGTGAAAGTGGTAACATTAAAAGTGGGAGTCACTTGGATCAACACTTAAGGGATATTTTTTGCAATATATTTTTTATTATACTTTAAGTTTTAGGGTACATGTGCGCAACGTGCAGGTTAGTTACATATGTATACATGTGCCATGTTGGTGTGCTGCACCCATTAACTCGTCATTTAACATTCTTTTCCTTGTGTAATCTTCACAGAAAAGCCATTCTTGAAATAAGATCTCTTCTCAGTTTAGAAAAGAGAAACTGAGGTTTAGAGAGGCCAAAGAACTTGCCCACCATTCTGCAACCATTGAACAATGGGGTTAGAATGGTACCCATCTTCCTGACCCAACACTCAACATACATTCTCTTCACTGCCCACTATTGCAACCCCACAAAATAGAAGAGGTTTCTGAATAAACAGTTGGGTGCACATATTGATATTTTGTATGTCTGAATATCAACTTCCTTACAGTGTGCACATTTTGCACTGGTTTTTAAAATCCTTTGCTCATAGATTTTTTTTGAGAGTCCAAAAAGATGAACTTATCTCCAGGGAAATATACTTAGGTACACACATGTACACACACACACACACACACACACACACACTTCACATATAGTTTTGGAAGGTTCTTACGTGACCTGAAAGCTATCCATGAGCCATATAGAAGACCATGGTAACTATCTCCTTTCTTCTTCACAAACAGCTACTATACCAAGCGTAGTTTTGTTATAAATTGAGAAAATTGAGGCTGTGAAATATTGTGACCTTCAAAGATGCACAATTTTGACCTAGTTGGTGAGAGAAATGATATCTGCCTGAGTATAAAAACACCATGTCCTACCTACCCACTGTTTTCTATTGTAGTCACCAAGTGAACACCATACCAATGGTGTTCAAACATTTCTAGCTTTGCAAAAATGTGTATATGGAATATGTCCTAATTTACAACATGGCACAAAATATTGACTAAATTCAATAATATCTTATCCTGGATTTTCAGATTGTCAAGGGTTTAAGAAAATATATGGAAAACATTAAAGCCAAAATATCCTGTGAATTAACTTTTTTTCCTTTATGACAAAAGTCATTATTCAATTTAAGAAGAAGAAACTCATCAAGGGTTTGCAAATATTAATCCACATAATGAGGCCTGCACAGGGCTAATCTTGGTTATCCACACTTCGCATATTCATTTTAATTCCTAGAATATATTTTTGTCAGAACAATGAAGAGGAGATCAATACAAATAATTTTAAATCCTTATGAAAATCTTTTAGATGTATGTGACATTCATCCAGTTTTTCAGTTAATATTTGTTAAGCACCTACTATGTGCCAGCACAATGATAGAATCTGGCAATCAAAGGAGCGAAGAATATTGTCCTTGGCCTCAAAGGCTTCGCAGCCTTGTAGAAATTCTTTAAGAAAGAGATATGGGCATAGAGACAAGAAAAATATATGGCTAATCCATTTGCTGTTGAGGTGATTATCGCCGCTAAGAGTAAAAGTGGAAGACATAGCAAAGTCATTTGCTTTCAGTAGGAAACAACGTGGTTAGGCTAAGGAAATGTCTCCCTCGTGCAGGGACCTGTAGCACCAAGCCTACATTGGGGAATTTGTATGAAGTGAAGCAATGAAAATCAAAGTGGCCATTTAAGTCATGACAGCTACAAAGCTATGCCATCTGCTACCCAGGCTCTGGTTTTGCCCGACACAAGCTACTCACGGGATGTTCCACATAGAGATAATTTCAGAGGAAAATAGTGCATGTAAACATGTGTGGCCATGGAAAAATATACAGAGAAAGATGCTGAGTAGTATTCTGTGGGGCTGGGTAATACTAATAACACTTATCTCCCATTCTCCTCCCCCTCCTTCTGCTCACTTCTCCCTCCACCTCTTCCCTCCATCCTCTCCTTCCTGTTTCTTCCCTCCACATTCCTCCTTGTCCTTCCTCCTTCCATCTCCTCCTCCATCCATCCTCCTCCCCCCTCCTTGTCCACCCTCCCTCTTCCTTCTCTTTCCTCCTCCTCAAGCCACTTCCTTCTTAGGCCTCCTCCACCTCCTCCCCCTCCTCCTCCTCTCCCCTCTTCTTTAGTTTCTGCTCCTGCTCCTCCTTCTTTATTTATAAAAGTTGTGCATTCTTCCCTTTCCTGCCTGCTTTTTTTTTTAGCTTTTTAATTTTAAGTGCACAGAAAAGCTGAAAGAAAAATGCAATAAACCCCTAAAAATCATTGTTTGCAAAAAGATCAAACAAAAATCATTTGTTGCAAAAAGCAGAAAGTATGTTTTCTGCTTTTTACATCTCTCTGCATATCCTCCCTCCGTTTCTTTCTTGCTCAAAATCTTTCTCTTTGTGTCCCTCCCTCCCCTTCATGTCCTCCCTACCTCGCTCTCTCTCCCTTTCTTCATTTATTTAGTTATTGCACCCTTCAAAATAAGATGTGGACAACTTCACACTTTACCTCTAAATACTTCAGCATATAACTGCTGAGAACAAAGACATTCTCCTGCATAGCAACAATATCATTGTCGCCGGAAAGGAATTTAACATTGATAAATAATATTACCTAACAGACAGTCTATGTTAACATTGAACCAGTTGTTTCAACAACATGCTTGATAGCAGCATTATTGTGGAGGGGGTGTCCAAAATCCAGTCAAGAACCTCATCTTGCCACATCCCTTTAACCTGTTTTGATGTGCGACTTTTATGACAATGACATGTGTGAATAGGCCCATTTTCTTGTGGAGTGTTTCATATTCTGAATGTATGTCACGATTAGATTGAAGTTAAACTTTGTTGATGGTGGTTACTGGGCTTCCCACAGCAGCATACGAGAAGGCACACAACTTCAGTTCTCTGCATCACTGGTATTGTTACTTTGCTCGCTTGGAGAGGGTAGTATCTACTAGGTATCTCATTGAAGAGGTTCATCTGGACCCAAAACCTTTCATCTGGTCATTTAGTATCACCTGGTGATCCTTGCTCTAATCAATGATTATAGTGGAGGTTTAAATTGGTGATTATGGAATTCCATCATTCCTTCTATACCTGTTGGCTATTATTCTGTACAGAATTTCCTTCTACATTTTTCCCCTTTACTATCTGTGTGGACTCATATTTTTGTTTTATATTTTTATAATTCATTAATATCATTATCCTTATCCTTCAATTGCCTGAATTTGATGAATCTTGTGATTTTTTTGCATGCATACATCATATTTTGAGCATTCTCTTGCTTTTAGGCACACCACTATGTTCCAGCGTGACCATGTCTTTTTCCTTCCCATAACTCGGAATCAGCATTTTCTTCAAGGCACCTGGTTCTTTTCAGCTTGGTATTTCAATCAAGATTTGAACATTAGGTGTGCTCATTGCTACTGGAGTTTCTCCTAGTCTCTCTTCAGTGGATTTCCTACTGATACTTCCAATTCCAACCTTTTTTCCAAATTTGAATCTCCTTTCTTCCACCAGGAGAATATGGGCATACAGCAACATCCATTTTTATTACGTACTAATGTTATCAATTTTATACATGGTTAATTAATTTTCTTTTTAATATTAGAGATCTTCTTATTTGTGTTTTTTACTTTACTTTTAAACGAAATAGTCTAATACCATTCAAAAGTCAAAACTATAGAAGTATACATATTTGAGGTCAGGATTTTGAGACCAGCTTGGCCAACGTGGTGAAACCCCATCTTTACTAAAAACAAAAAGTAATTGAGCCTGGTAGTGCGTGCCTGTAATCCCAGCTACTCGGGAGGCTGAGGCAGGAGAATTGCTTGAACCAGGGAGGCAGTGGTTGCAGTGAGCCAAGATCAAGCCATTGCACTTCAGCCTGGGCGATAGAATGAGACTCTGTCTCAAAAAATAAAAAATTTAAAAAATTAAAATAAACAAATAAATAAAAGTGTGTACAATGATAAATGTCTACTCCACCCAATTTCTATCTCCTCTAAACCACCCCCACTAAACTTAGGGAACCATTTCAGTATTTTCCCATTTCTTTTTTTTGTTGTTGTTTTTTTCTTTCTGTTTTTGAGACGGCGTCTCGCTTTGTGTCCCAGGCTGGAGTGCAGTGGCGCAATCTCGGCTCACTGCAAGCTCTGCCTCCCGGGTTCATGCCATCCTCCTGCCTCAGCCTCCCGAGTAGCTGGGACTACAGGCACCCACCACCCACGCCCGGCTAATTTTTTTGTATTTTTAGTAGAGACGAGGTTTCACCTTGTTAGCCAGGATGGTCTTGATCTCCTGACCTCGTGATCCCCCCGCCTCAGCCTCCCAAAGTGCTGAGATTAACAGGCTTGAGCGAACGCGCCTGGCCCAGTATTTTCCCATTTCTTAGGGAATCATTCCAGTATTTTATCTTTTATTCTTTTGTATTTATTTTTGAAAAAAAAATCCCTTTATTTGTACAAAATCTGCAGATGTATACATATATATATATGAATGTATGTGTGTAGTGCTTAGTTTTTAATTTAAATAGTATATCCTCAAAGTCACTACATATCAATGAATACAGATATTCCTCATTCCTTTTGTAAAAAAACAGCGCTGATATATCATAATTTATTTAACCAATCTTCTACAAATCAGCATTTTTATTTTTTGTAATATTGTGCTATTACGTATGAAGCCACAGTGAATGATCTTCTGCCTATGATGCTTTGCATTTCTGGAGGTGGATTTTCAAGATGAAGTCCTAGAAGTGACATTGCTGGGCCAAAGGGTCAATGCACTGTGGTCTTGTTAGGTCCCGCCAAATCCTCCTCCTTAGGATGCTTTCCTCTTGCATTCCTATCAGAAATGTAGGAGAATAACAATTTCTACACCAAGTCTCAAACAGAATATTTATTGAGCCTCTGAGTACTTCCCATCTGATAGCTAAGAGATGGCATGTCAGTGCAGTTATAATTGGCATGTGCAAGCATGAGTGAGGTTGAACACTTCATAGATGTAAAGCATTTGTATATCTTTACTGTAAATTGTCTATCGGTGCCATTCTCCCATTTTTTGCTATAGGGATTTTTATCCTTTTTGTTATATTTAACAGTGTTTTAAAAATACATATTGGGAGCTATCTTTTTATATTCCATGTAAGTTGAAAACATTTTTTCCCAGTATGTCGTCTTTTTAACTTTGCTTATGTTCATACATGTACATAGAAATTTTTCTACATAATACAATCTATCAATTTTTTCTTGAACTATTTCACAGGAATTCCAGACTGTTAGCGTGAGAATAATCTAAGTGAATCCCTAAATCTAAGATGTGCACCTTTGAACCAGAGAGCCCTAGAAAGAGCAGAAGCAGCCGCTGAGGATGAATGGGCCAGGGATCCAGGACAAGCATCCCTCCTGTGCTTAAGGACAGGAAGGATAAACAGGGTTGTACAAATGAGATCCTTTATAAGTTGGAGAGGTTTAACAAAAGGTAGAACTATGTGTATGAATATTATTTGTGGATGATAGTAATGGAAATTAGGTCATTAAGATGGAAAACAGATCTGTGCACATCTTAAAATCAAGGACCCGGATATTCATCTTCCTGGTGTCTATGTGTCTGGCACCTAGAAAATGCTCCATAAATATATTCTGAATGGAGGGAATTGAATCTAAAATGGAGCAATAAGGAACAACCACAACAGTGGAATGAAAATACTAACAGTACAAATTCAGATGCATCCTTGTGCATGTACTTTTAAGTAAATCTATTTTCTTCCACGTTCAATACAAATTTCATTTTAAAAAAATCAACCACCACGTTAATTCAAACTGGCTAGGCAGACAACAAGGCTTTGTTTTTTTAACAATAAAATATCTCTCAAATGTGTCAGGGCAAGGGAGTTGGAGAAAGCTCTTGATTTTCTTTATTCCTACAGCACTGAACATTTTAACTACCTACAAGAGAGTGTCTTATGAATAACATACTTATGCATTTGTAAACTGTTTATGTGAGCACTAGAGAAATGACCAGCCATCTAGATTTGAGGTGCCTGCTGATATCCACCTAGTCATTCTCTTAAAAACCAGCTGATTTCTTAATGATAGACAATAGGCCTGCCCACATCAGGCAGAAGTAGCATATTATGGGGACTGACAAATAGTTCTCAAAGCGAAGCAATTCACAGGACTCCCTTTTCCTTCTAAAGCCAAGTGCTTGGCCTTCGAAATAAAAGAAACATTTGTTCAGTTGTTATTGAGTTTCGTTTTGTCAAGTGCATGCATTCTTGCAGAGCTGGCCCAAGAACTTTTCAAGACACCATCAGCACAAATACAAATATTTGACAGTGCAGCTCATGAGCAACAACAACAACAGCAAAAAAAAAAACAAAAAAAAAACAGGATCCTTCCTGTCAGACCATTGCTTTTGTTCCTTCATTGGCTTGGTGTCTTTCTAATAGATTTCATTGCTATGTTCATCTGGCTCTCATGTCTTTCAACATGTGTCACAGGGGATAAACATATGATTATCCAATCCTGACAGCCTTCAAAAAAGCACATCAGATCATTCTTTGCTGCTTTGTGGGTATCAAAGAGGCAGATCCATGCTACTCGCTGTAAATATTGCCCTCAATAAAGGGAAGTAGGGAGAAAAGGAAAGTTCCAGCTTGTTTATGTTAGCAAGATCTGTCAATCCAAACTTCCACATCTACAGATTCTTTCCTTTGCAGGCCAGACTTTGTTTTCACCAGACTATACCACTGAAGTGTGAAAATAGAGGGCAGGAGAATAGACATGTGGCAGTCATCATTTCTGAAAATCCCTTCCTCTGTAGGCATGGATGATGGTGTTGGAGAAATAGCTCCTATCATGCACTGCATATTTTATTTTTTTTCCGTGAAGAAATAGAGATTCGAGAATGCGATTGCATTATAAAGGGGTTGATTGATTTGATATCCGTTATTCTCATGAAGGCAGAACTATGTTTTATTCATTCTGCATCCCTGAGGACAGATACCTGCTCTCAGGTTGATGCTCATAAATGTTTCCTGAGTGGATCTCAGGGTGAGGGCCTTGGACCTGCAGCACCAGCACTACTAGAAATGCAGATTCTTGGGGCCCCTCCAGATGTGCCAAATCAGAAATGCTGAGATGGGGCCCAGGAGTTCATGTTTCCACAAGTCCTTCAGGTGATGGTGATGCATATGTAGGTGTGGGAAGGTTCATTTTGCTAAGAAGAAAAGTAGGAGGAAAGACAGTGGATGAACGTCTGTTAAACTAAATGTTGAGGTGCATATCGTAAGGCTCCTCTCAGGGGCCAGCTCTTTTGGGAAGCTCTCCCCAAGTCCCTCTGCCCGCTTCCAGCCTACTGGCTGGGTTAGTTGTAGTGTTCTGGTGTTCTCATAGCCCCTGGTTATGTAACTATATTGTTACCTTAAAGAAAATATATTCATATCCTGAATACATGTTCTGGCTTCTACAACAATTCATCGTGATGACCCTATTCATCTCTGGAGTAAGTTCACAGAGAACAATGAGCAGGTGTATGTGTTGAAGATATCAGTTTACACAATGTTCCATTGTTGATACCAATGTCCACAGTCATATCTCTAGTTTTTGGTGTAGAAGTAAGTGTATAAATGAATTCTGACATGGAAAATACAAGAATATGCCAATACACATTTTCACAATGTGCTTTTTTAAAACAAATTGTCATATATGAAATACATAGACTCAGGAAGACACTTCCTTCTTTCAAATATACTAACTGGATGAATCAGCCTATTGATAACCAGATGTTCATAATATATCCCGGATTAATAACAAAGTAACATAAACTGGGCAGCTTACACAACATTCTCTCACAGTTCTGGAGGCCAGACATGTGAAGTTAAGGTGCCAGCAGGATTGGTTCCTTCCGCGGGCTGTGAGGGGGAACCTGCTCCGGACCTCTCTCCTTGGCTTTGTGGGTGGACATGGTGATCTCCCTGTACGGGCATGTCTGGGTCCAAATCTCCCTGTTTCATTAAGACATCAGTTACATTGGATTAGGGCCCACCCTAAAGACCTCATTTTAACCTAACTCTGCAAAGGCCCCATCTCCAAATCAGGTCACATTCTGAGGTACTTGGGGTCAGGACTTCAATATATGAATTTTAGGAGGGGATGCAGTTTAACCCGTAACATACTTCAACTGTTCTCTTGGTCTTGAGGTATGCGTGCATGGCCTCAGAAGAAACAGGGAACCAGATTCAAAGCCTGTTGCATGTAGGAAAATGTCAGCGTACCCATGTCCACTTACCTCTTGACAGAAAGCATCAGACCCCATGACCTGCACATGTGGCTGGTTTCCTGTGTTTTCCCAGAACTGCTTTTCCTCACGTGCCTCACTCCTGCCTTCCATCTTCTGACTCCCTGGGCTTCCAGTCTCAGTGTCCAGCTGCCTTGTAGGTACTTCCCTTGGCCTACAGGCAGCCTCTCTCAATGGTGAGTCAGCTTCCATCTTGATTCTGCTTTGATGCCCCCTCCCTGCCAGTCCTCAGGGTTCCTCCACTAACAGGTCCAGACACCTTCTGGCAGCCAGCCCTGGGGAGCCCAGCACGGTGCTGAGGGCATGGCTTTGAGTGCCAGGACGCCCGGCTGAAATTCAGGCTCTGTCACTTTCTGGCTATGAGGGCTTAGCCAATTTACTCTCATAGTAGTGCCTCAGTGGCCTTGTCTGTAACATGTGGTGGCTAATAGGACCAACCTGGTTGGGTTCCTGTGAGAATTAAATGTTTGATGGCAGTTCCTGGCACATGGTAGGCTCTGGAGGAACATTTGCTGCTGTTCATATGCTTGTTCTGGCTGTACATGCTGGTTCTGGCAACATATCGCTGCTGCTAGGCTCACACGCACTTCACATGTTATAGTCTATAAAATTCAGACTCACATTACAATGAGATGTACGTTATAATGAAGGGATGTTTTTCCCCCCTGGAAACTTTCTATTAATTCAAGAGCGCATCTTAAAATCAATGTCATTTTATAATTCAGGAAATAATATCTTGCCATTTAATGAAACCCTATTAAGCACCAGATTGTTGACATATCTTCTTAAATCTTAAAATATTCCTGCAAGGGAAGTTTTGTTATATCTACCTTGTATGTGGCAACAGGGATTTGTAGGCATCAGAGACTTTCTGGAGGCCAGAAAGTTAAGTGGCAGAGCTGAGGTCTGAAAGGTCTGTTGGATGTCTAGATCCTTGTTCTTTATATAAAGCTAATAAGCTGGAATACTTGCCTATGAGAAAAGAAAGTTAATGAGAAGTTGGACAAATTATCACTGAATTGATTAAAGAATAATATGGTGATGAGACTCATGCTGTGCTGTGTTAGGTTGCGCGTGTTGTGTTGTGATTATTTGTGAGAGAAACCAGCTCTGCTCAGAATGTGAATTCACCCATTTGCCTCTAATATCCGCTTGGTCAAAGCAGTATCTGGTGGACTATAGAATTAGTGTTTGTTCCTCAGACCACATCATTAAGAATTTACTCCCTTTATCATCTTTATTATATCAGCACACAATTCTGTCACAATAAATAATACTGTGCTTATTAGTTGTTGATTGCACATACACTTTCTCTAGTGAAACTGTAAGCCTCTTACAATCAGTGCTTTCTATGCCCATTGTGTTTTATGAAAGGCAGAGAAAACAAAAAGCAAAAAAAAAAAGTTTCTAATACTAAGCTTAAAAGACCTCCTAAGGTATTGACTAGTTATATAAGTAAACCTAATACATCCTACTATTCTGATGGGAGAGGGCACTCTTCTGTAATATACATGTGGAGATACATAAGGTCATCTGCAGACAACTCTCTGCTTCTGTTGAGTTATGCAAAGCTAGCAAAGCCTGTCCTGTGCATTGCCATTCCTCATTCCAAGCACTCATGGCAGACATCACTAATTGATCAGGTAGCTTTTACTGCTGTTGTCAGATACAACCTCTGATTGTTTTGCAACACAGCACTCAGGCAATCACCACCCATCTATTAGGGATGACATGACAAATGAAACCAATCTGATATCCCTTGTCTCACCGGTGGTTGTGAAAATAGAGAATGCAGAGCATTTAGGAAGGCGAATTATTGTCATATGCGGTAGTCAGCAGAGAATTGTGACATGGGGGTCCCTCATGTGGCCACAATATTAATATTCTCTTGCTTCAGCTGGTGTAACACTAACCCTGATTTTAAAATCACATCAATGCTGGAGAAAGCAAAACGTTGTTCATAAGTTATTCCAGAGGAACTGATCCTATGATACTCTGCTTTTCAACAGCCCCATCCCGTTTGGCTTTCAAAAACCGTCCTTGTCCAGGCTTCTCCCGAGACTTACTAGGAATGCCCAGTTTAATCAGAAATCTTGAGGAGGAAGTCTAGATGCCCGCTGGACTTTTCTGTATAGCTCCGCAGGAGATTCAAAATGTGCATTCATGGTAGAGCACCAGTGTGCTAGGCTGTTCCCTATCAATAGTGTCAATGAAAAGTTCCTCCTGGAGTACTTAAAGGAAGATTCTTGGCAATCAAAATTCTTAGCAAACTTCAACAAAAGTATAGATAATAAGATTTTAGGCCACACAATTCTGGGCAATTCTTGGGCTGTGCACATGAGGGACTGTCTTCCCAGCACTTATCTGCCCACACCTGACCACAAGGCATTTGTCCCAGAGGCATACATCACAGGTGGTAATGCATTCCTAAGGTCACAGAGTCTGTGAAGTCCTGAGTTATTCATAAGCATTTCCACATAACATTTGGCCACTTTTTTCTGTGCTATTATAAACTTTGCCCAGAGGGAAACAGTAATTAGTTGCTTCACATTCACAAATTTCCTTAAGGTGCTTTCTTCAACTTGACACTTGCATTTCTCCTGGTAGTTTGCGGTATTTAGTCTTAGTGAAGCTTTAATGTTTTGTTTTGTTTTGTTTTGTTGTCTTGAGAAAGGAACATCTTAAAGCTTTCATGAAGAGTAAGTTTTAGAAAATTATATTTGGGATTGGGATGTTTTTCCTCCCAGTGCAAAATGCACAGAACTGCTTTTGATGTGACTGGTGTTTGTTTTTGTTTGCTTGTTTTAAATAAAAATAAAAAAGTTGTTCCAAAAATGTGTACATCTCACCACCATAGATTGTCTTCATTGACTATATTTTCTTTATCAGCAGTGGCTTTGCCTGCACATAAACTAGCAGGGTCAGGAAGCCACTACCAGAAGGCAACACAAGCTTAGGCCACAGGAGTAGAAGCGCAGTGTCCAGCCGCGCCCCCTCCTTCCTTGCTCTGACCGTAGCACACTGAGCCCACCACTAATGCCTTCTCCAGTTACTGCAATCTCATCTTCTATTCTATTACTCATAGCTAATGTTATTGGCACTTCTTTCTGTAATCTTGATGTTTGTTTCTTCACATAATTTCGATCCACCTTCCACAATTTTGCTCTTGTCCTTGAAATGCTTGGACAAATGTTTTAGCTCCAAGTCAGCAAACACTGCAAATTTAGGCTCCCTCCTCTCCTCTGGCCCATACTGACTGTTTAACACTTGCCAGTAAATAATGCTGAAAGAAGAAGTGAGAACTGTGGAGTGGATCCAGAAACACAACTGGAGCAGTATGATGTGATAGCAGATGCTGAAGAAAGAAGATAGGAAAAATCATGTAGAAATTATTTTGCCTAAATATAAAATAGGATTTTCATTAGGTCCAGCCACTCCACGGCAGATGCAATGCCTTATTCCTGCTTATAGCCCAAAAGGATGTCAACAACTTCTTGAGATTGAATTTGCACAGCCCCTGAGAGAAGTGACTTCCTACAACCATCCTAAGTTTAGGTGGAAGCAGCATGCCCAGCCTCAGAGGGTCACGAAATCCTCTTACTTTCGGTTGGAAGATGCATTGGTCAGTCTGCAGCTTTGGAATCAGTCCAGGAGCAAATCTCAGCTCTGACACCTGCTGCTTGATACTGTAAAAGTTGACAAAATATCTCCACAGAATTCTCAAGGAAATTCTTCCAGGAAAGTATCCAATGGCTATGTAATTTCTGAGTCACAGTGCCTGGTCAAGAAGCTAAAAGTCTATTGCAGGACTCGGATGTATAAATAGACACATGTGGTAAAATTCCTGATACGGAAAGGCACAGGACCTTGTATGGAACCAGACAAGACACATGACTTACCCTGGGAGCTAAGAACCGCTTTTCAGAGAACACTAGCACCTACACAGAGTGAATTGAGCAAAGATTGGGGCTGGGCCTGCTGGAAGGTCTGCACTTCATGTGCAGATGCCCAAAGATCTGGATCCTTGCAACAAGCTATAATTTTGCTCAGGGCTGGGAGACTGATGCCAGTTGAGAATTGCTGAGCTAGCCTCTCAGCGAGATTGTGCAGCTTTCATCCTTCTCATTGCTTAAGCACAAACTGTGGTGAAAGTATGAAGACTTTATTTCTTTGCAGAAAATGACCCTGAAGAGAGGGCCAATTGCTAATGCTTGCAGTGCCAATGAATAGACAATGCTGATTCTTAGCCAGAAAATAGCTTAATAAATTACTTTGGTTCTATATTTATACAACAGTTTAGGGTCTATGGGGTTCAATTACATTTTCCAGTTATATTTACTGCATCTAAGGTTGGAATTACATGCTACAATTTATGCAAATTTAGGGAATTTAGAATATTGTAGAACATTTCTTATAAATGACAAGGGTATGCGCTAGTTCAAATCATTATGGCTAACGTATAGAGAATATCATGCACTGAAACCCAACTTTCCTCTTTGTAGTCTGGTCTGATGGTTATTCCCCTGCTAATACCATAGCTTCTGTGATGGTCTGAGACTCCAGGTAGAGAACAATGAGAAAAGCACAACCAGACGCATGAACAAGGACCAGTATAGACGCATGGACAAGGACCAGTATGGCTTGTTGCTCTTCTTCATGCATACGCCTCTTTAACAAAGCCAAAAGTAATTTTCTGAAAATAAATGGGCACTCATTCAAATAAATTATTGAACAACAACAAAAAGCACATATCAAAAACATCTATGATGGTTTCAAGGAATAATGTGTCATCAGGTCAATGCTTATTGATCTCTCAAGGTTGGATACTTAATGAGACTGGTTATGTGACAGATGATACAGAATGAGGCCTTTGTGCAGAAATCTTTACAACTGCAGTTCTTTTTTCTATTGTACACTGGAGGAGATTACAAAGTATATTCAGTCTCAAGACTTGATGCTTATCCAGGGGGACACTGGATTGTGGCAACTGGGGTCCCTGGGGCTGGAATAGATTATGGGTGAAGTTAATTTGTGGTGCTCAATACAGAAGTAACCCACAGGACCACAGTGAGAAGAAAGGAAGAAATGAACCCTGACGGAGGCAGGAGTGAGATAAACATGAGTGTGAGTGTTTCACTGTAGAGTGGAGACATCACTCTGAGAATGTCACTTACGTGTGTCAGGGGCTTTAGCCTAAAATCACTTTAGAGCGATTTTTCTCTTACTACAGGTTTTCCTCTATGTTGGGGTGAGGGTGGGGTTCAGTGATATTGAATCTCACTCACAGAGCTCCTACTCCAAGATGGTAGAATAGTGATCTTTTAGAAAACTCAGAATTCTGGATTCTGCAGAATTCTCTCCCAGATGCTACTTGTTAACAGAATTCTATTTTCCCTTTTGGCGGCACAAAACTCCTCTTCATTGCACTGAATCCCTTGTAGTATGATGTGAATGTGTAACCAAACTGTCTTTAAACAAATGTGAATGTGAATGATACTTGCCAATTCCAGGCATGGCTCTTAAGAAACCTTACACAGATGTGTCTTTATGCCCCTTTTCCCTTCCGAAGGTGGGATGGCAACACAGACGATGCCCCAGGAGGAGGGGAAGTCACCAGCTGGAGCAGTCCTGAGTCCCTGAGTTCCTGAGTGGAGTAGAGGCACCCACCAACCAGGAAAATCCATTCTGGACAATTATCTGAGGAAAAAATAGACTTCTATTGCATTTGAGCAGTAGTACCTCAGGGCTGATTTCTTCCAGCAGCCATCCTACTGTGCTGGTGATGCTTTGATTGCCTCTTGGATAGACCTGAACCTTTCCTGCCTTGCTCTTTGTCCGGAGAGGCTGATCTCCATGCACTGCATCAGGTGCACCCCCTTGCCTTCCAGCTTTTGGTTGGCTATAGATAACAAGATGTAGCACTGCAGATGAGAAGATGGGAGGAGCCTGTGGGAGATGAGCAGAGAGCAGAAAGGAGGGGGAATCTGTGTATCCACATGTTCCCTCATGGCTTCTCTGGGCAGTTTCTCTAACACAGCTACAACTGTCACCAGTGCTGGTGACATGACCCTTCCCATTCTCCTTCAGACCAAGAGTAGGAACAGCTTCCCACTGTCACTACTCTCTGGTTGTTTTGCCATCTATTATTTCCTTAGCTCCACCTGCATCTTTGGGTCTTTCCAAAGACTCTATTCCATTTCAGGTAAATGGGACTTTCCTTACAAATCTATTTAATTAAAAGCTGTGTTGATCATGTCATGTATTCCTTCTGCAACTCTGGAGGATACAGACACCATAACCAACCTTCTATCTAACCATACCCTTATCCAGCCTCCAACCCTTTGTACTGTTGGTTTCAAAGAAATAGCACAAGCACATTCCCCAGGCTCCCATCCTCACCTTAGAAATGGGAAATAAGCACCCAGAGAAGGAAAGGGACTTTCCAAAGGCTTCATCATTTTCAGGAGAGAACCAGGGCTTTGGTTGAGAAGAAATGAACTTCAAGGGGAAAGCTTTCTAAAGAATAGGTCTGGAACTGGAAACATGACAGTTCCGTCTCCACTGCCAAGGAGGAGTCACATTGGAAAACATTCCTTGGGATCTGCCCTTAGCTAGTTAGGGATTAGGGTTGGCAAGAAAAGTGTGTTGGGACATTCACCCCAAACCCAGGAACCTGAGACTCCTGTTCTGAATCCACAAGAATTCCCCAGAGCCACGGCCCCCTGCATTGATCTCCTGTGGCCGGTATCCCTGAAAGCAGCATGCCAGGTTGGCCAACACCTCTTCTAGTGAGAATACCCAATTCACATTTATGAAAATAGAGACACTGCTGTCCTCATCAGCAGTGAACTTCATGATTCAATCTGCTTTGGGTAAATATGCTACTCACAAAGGCAATCTGAGTTAGCTGGGAGGGAAGAGAGGCAGAGGTGCAGGGAATCGCATCCCTCTTGGAGAACTGCAAGCAGATAGGAAAGCATGGGATGGAGGTGGGAAACTCATCCTGTAATTCTCAAAGGAACTGTGTTGCATTTTCTCCCTTGGCCTACCTCATCACCAGCTTTACATCTCAGGGGTCCTGGGGCATTGGAGCGCTAACATGGTCCCTAAGGAGACTTCCAGTGCCTTCTCTTTTAAGTAACTCATTTTTCTAGTCCTGCCTCCCTGGTATCTTCCAAACAGCACTCAAAGTAACTCCTGCAGGAGGCGCTGTGGGATCTTTGAAGGCAGGGCCTGTAACTAAAGAGACTTTTACCTCCAGCACCACTTTGTGGCCTGGCAGATAGCAGGTGCTCATGGAAGGTTTGTCCATTTCATGAAGGGAGGTGAGCATGCCCAAAGCATCACGAGGCAGGAGCTATTTTTTAGCACATATTTTCCTCAAATTACAAGTTTTAAAATTTAAAATTTGCCTATCTTGAAGGCCACATTTAGAAAACCCCTTAAGAAAAAGAAAGATCAAATACCCTTTCCCAGGAGATTTAATGCTTTAATAAAGTATAAATTCAAATGCATTAATAGGGAACAAAACTGCAGTAATTTTTCTGGTGAGTCAAGTTGTGAAAAATTGTATTACAGCTAATATGCCAATTAATTCATCATTGGGTCAATTATCAGGTATTTCTTTATTCTTATTTGATATCTGGAGGTGCCCTGAAACTATAAATTCCCTGCATCTTTATTAGATTGTCAGATAACTCCGAGTGTCCCACCCCACCCGAATCCCTGTCCCTCCCAATCATGCCTACAAAATTTTTTATTTCTAAATCTTCACAAGACTCTGAATTGCCTAAGCTTCACAGCAAACCTCAGCAATCTGTGTGTGTGTGTGTGTGTGTGCGCGCGCGCGCGCGCGCGCGCGCGCACGCAAAACTTATCTTCTCTGACCTCTTAGCTTATTCCAAGCTTCAATCTAAGCATCTAATCAAACAGTTGTCCCTCTCTATTAGCCCCTTCTTCTTCTGCGGCTCACCTGTTTATCTTCTCGTCTCTCTGGAATAGCTCTTGGAAAGGGTTCCAATTCAATCTCATCAGAGGTTCAAGTAATATTTTTCCAGCTGAATTTATAATAGATGTCCTACTTTTCTAAATAGAATGTGGGTAACAGAGAGAGTGAGAGAGAGAGAGAGAGAGAGAGAGAGAGAGAGAGAGAGAGAGTGTGTGTGTTTTGTTGTTGTCATTGGAAAGAAAAATAAGATTTAGAATACAATTTTAGAACTGAAATAGAGCTAAAGGACCAGGGAATCCAGGTCCCTACTGGATAAGTAAGCCAGGACGCAGAGAGGTTCAGTGATGCAGTATGCTCACACCTCACGTTACTGCACATTTAAGATTATACTGAGATTTGATAGCGATTATGTTGAGTCCATAGGTCAATTACATATTAACAACCTTAAGTCAGCTGACTCATGACTGTAAAATATCTTTTTATTCATTTAGGTTTTTTATAATTTTTTTCAGCAACATTTTATATTTTTCAGTATATTGTTCTTGCACATATTTTGTTATATTCATCCCTAAGTATTTTGCATTTTTATTGCTATTACAAATTATATTATTATTTTTAGGTTTTATTTCCAGTTATTCACTGTACATATGTATAATTTCAATTAATTTTATATACTGAACTTTTACCCTGCAACCTTGCTAAGCTCACTTACTATTTCTAGTAACTTTTTTGTATTTTTTACATAGACTATAAATAAAGATAATTTTACTTCTTGCTTTCCAAACTGTATTCCCATTATTATTATTATGGGCCTAATTTCATTTATTTCCTGACTTCATGCAGGTGATTTTTAACACATATTTGTAGACTTTTAGATTTTTTTAAATATGTGATTATGTTTTAAATTCATAGCACTGTACAAATACATATTATTGTTGCCTTTATCAAAATAAATAAACTAGGACTCACATTTTATACTGATTTAGTATTAATTCATGTTTCATTTTTCCAAAAGCTACACATAATCATTAAAGCCCTATTCCACATGACCCTACCATGCTACAAACACAGTTAGCCCTAGTGGTCTATGACGTATCCTTTCCCCTCTGAAATATGAAGTACCCTCTTACTGCTACAACATTAACATTCACGCCCTCGCAGAATCCTTCATTCCCTATCTCCTTCCTTCTCTCCATCCTCTCTTTTTTCCACACATGTATACAGGGCACCTGCTCCTACCACACAGCAAGCAAATCAGCCCTTGGGAATAAATAAAACCCATGCTAGCTGCCCTCAAGTTGCTCCACAGCTAGTATAGAGATTGTATATTACTGAGGCGATTTCCGGAGACACACGTACGATGTAGTGGGTGTAGAGAGGAAGGTGTGTGCATACCTGCAGAGGGCAGTCAGAACCGACCTCCTACAACTAGGGAAGAAAATGTGCAAAGAGGTCAAAAAAAGAAAAAAATCCCCCTTTATTACTGTGCTTCAAGGAAATTTTCAATGTCAAGTAGAGAGTGATGAGAAATATGTTTGGATGATGTGTTAGTCATGATTCAGACAGAAAAATGGAAATGACTCTAGGTGTTTCAAACAAAAATAATTTAATGCAGGGAATTAGTTACAGAGGGACAGCAGAACTTAGCAGCTTCACAGAGAATGGTGAAGCCTTCTTGGGCTTAGCAAGCAGCAGGAACCTCTGGTACTCTAGGGTTGGAGGGATCAGACAAGAATGCTGCTAGCAGGATTCAAGAGCCAGGGCTGCCCAGAATGAGCTAAAACTGGGGTGAGACTGATTAGGAGGAGCTGGAATCTCCCTGAAAGCACTTTTTCTGGGGCAGCTGGTGGGAAGAGAGAGAAAGTACAAAGAAATACCCTCCCTCTGCCCTGCCTCTGTCCTCAAACCTCCTATTGAATGAATTTAGCAGGAAGACAGAGGGCAAGAGATTCTGGGTAATGGAACTTCCTACGATACAGAAACAGAAAAACAAGGAACTAGCTTGAGACCAAACAGGCAAATGACAGGCATGGAGGGGTGGGTAGAGACCGTGGAAAGGAGGCCAGGCGGAGAATCATGAAGACGCTGAGCTTGTTGCTCTGCCTTCTCCTCCGCCTTGTGCATCTCCCAGCTGCTGAGGCTACAGATGGCCAAAGACACACTATTAAATAAGGTCTGAAAAGTGGATTATAAGGTTCATATCATGACAGGTAGTTAGATAATACATATCAATATACCAAAGCTTCCAAAAAAAACATAAATGCGATAAAGTTCCAATTAGAATGTCAGTAACATATGCAGGGATTGAATAAAAGTGCTGGAAAGATTTCATGAAAGTATAAATCCTGGAGAATCAGTGAGGGCATTTTGAAATGTCGTTTGAATTTTGAATTGCTGGTATAACAAATCAGTACTACAGAGCTACTGAAATTATATGGCTGTGGTTTGGTCTAGGAATACATAGACACATTGATGGACTAGAAGAGGGAATAAAGTAAAAGACCACATTGGTTGTGAGAATGTGATAAATGGCAATGATGGCATTTTAATTCAGTGGTAAGGAATGGATTGTTTAATAAATGGTACAGTCACAGCTGGTTATCCATCTGGAAGAATATAAAACTGGACCCCCTTCATACATCATGGCAAAATATAAATTCCAAATGGATTAAAGTCTTAAATGTAAAAAAAAAAAAAGGAAATCCTGGAACCTCGATGGACATTCTCAAGGCAAAATAGATATGAACCTACCTGAATTGACTTGAAAAATTAAATTATATATAATGAGAGATGCCAGATGCATCTCTTATATGCCATAAGCACAAAACATAACAAAAATACTTGGAGAAGTATTTTCAATGAGGACAGATGTCAATTATTAATAATAGACAAATATCTTTTACACATTTGCAAAAAGAGAACAAACAAGGTAAGTGGGAAAAATGGGCAAAGGATTAGAAGAGACCATTTACACAGGAGCAAATCCAAATGGCCAGCAGATATGTGAAAACATTCTCAGATGTAACAGTTATGAGTGAAGTGCAAATTAATGCATCAATGACTATTTCTTTACATTTATGAATCTGCCAACTTTTTTCAACAAAAGGAAAAATTACTGATGGCAGATATGTGAGGATAGGGCACCCTCACATTGCTGGAGTAATCTGACAATGTTTTAAAAACAGTTTATAAGACTCTAAAATTAGAAACATATATTCTCTTTGATGCAGCAAATACAACTCTAGGAGCTGTCCTATAGAATTAAAAAGAGTTCACAAAGGGACTGCCCATCCGTAGGGAATGTCTGGAATAAACTATTGTATATCCATAGCAGGGAATGCTAAAAAAAAATCAACAAATGAATTGGAGTTATGCCAATGGAATTGGAAGATTTCAACAAAATTTGTTTTCAGTCTGTATAAGATGTCTTTTGTGGAATAAACAATAATATTGAGCAGAAAAAACATTTCTATATATGTGTACCTACAAAAGATAATATGAGTACAGAGAAAAATACAGACAAATATATAAATTTGGTTATATGGAGGCTATGAATTTGGGTTTACTAACAAGGGAGTGGTCTTTTAGTGGAGAAAAAAAGGAGAATTGAATGAGGAGGCTGGTGTAAAGTATGGGGAAAAGATTAAAGCTGTCTATTTCCCATCTTCATATATGATACGATCATGTTAATGTAGTCACATGAAGTCATATTTGTTACATAAAATATCATTATACCATGCATAGTGTTTATAGTTACATAAAACTATATGCATGTGTATGTTCACACATACAGACTTACATTTATTCTATAATTATATATGATACATATATATGATTGCTCATGAATACAAACAAATGCCTCCAGCATAGGGGCCTTCCATGGACTCAGCAGGTCCGCATCCTCCATTGCCTGGTGGCTGATGTCATAGTGACTTTTGCTGCACAGGTAGAGAGAGGTTAGCCAGAAAGCCTGCTTCTGCAGTCCACAAGGCTCTTTCTAAACTAGCTATGGGATTAATTAGAACATGTGACACTGTTTATCTTTTTCATTTATTTTAGTTTGTGGTTTTTCTTTTTTTTTTTTTTTTTTTGAGACGGAGTCTCGCTCTGTCGCCCAGGCCGGACTGCGGACTGCAGTGGCGCAATCTCGGCTCACTGCAAGCTCCGCTTCCCGGGTTCACGCCATTCTCCTGCCTCAGCCTCCCGAGTAGCTGGGACTACAGGCGCCCGCCACCTCGCCCAGCTAATTTTTTGTATTTTTAGTAGAGATGGGGTTTCACCTTGTTAGCCAGGATGGTCTCGATCTCCTGACCTCATGATCCACCCGCCTCGGCCTCCCAAAGTGCTGGGATTACAGGCGTGAGCCACCGCGCCCGGCCTAGTTTGTGGTTTTTCTAAGTGATTGCTCTAAGGCTGAGTCAATTACATTTCCCTTTCCCTTGGGTTTCCCTGGGAAAGAACCACTGCATCCATTTCAGAAACGCTGAGAAAGTAGAAATTATTTAGCCTGCCTGCCTTAGCCTTAGTTTTTTCATCTGTGAAATGAAGGTAATGATACCTACTTTGTCCCTGTCTCATAAGGGTAACATGGAAATTAATAAGATAATTAACTGGATACCAGCTCCTACTAAAGATGTACTATGTATGTAAAGCTTCTTATTGTTCATAAGTTTTCAACTCTGGATTGCGTGTGCCTTTCACTTTTGTAACAGTGGCTTGGAGGGAAAGAGAGTGCACCTGATCTTCTGTAATTAAGCAGAAGGTAAAACACTGCAGTGATTAAGAGAAATCAAAGTCCATTTTATTTATAGATGGATAATCAACTATTTTGCAACAAGGCTTTTGGTACTTGGAAAATCAACTTAAATTCAAAGAATGACTTTGGTAGTCCCACCAAAAAAAAAAAAAAAAAAAAATCAGCTCCTCTTCTTCATCTTCATGGATGTAGGTTGTAACTCCTGACCCTCATTTTCTGTTTCTTTTGTTGCTACCATCAACATTTACCTCCCATAGCATCTGGATACAGCCTATTCACTGTGCTTGCATCAAAGCAATCCTGTTATAAACTCAGAAGGATATTTCCAAAACACAAATCTAGCCCCTCAGAAAACTTTGACTGGTTCTTCTTTGTTTTCCAGACAAAATCTGCAGTCTTTTAAATGGTATCAAGTGATCCTCCATGCCCTGACTCCTCCCTACTTCCCAAAGCTCACATTAGTGTTCTGTTGACCGCTCCCTAGCCATTGTTCACTGACAACTGTAGGGAGGATGGGAAGGTGGCTTTCACCACCGGGTCTGCATAGTATCTGTGCTGCCCACTATGACCTCCACCCACCCCACCCACAACAGTCATCAGTGATGATGGAGCTGGGCCCCAGGCAGCAGCAGGAGCTGGGGTTTGGACCCCAGGGCTGCAGCAGCACTGGCCCACAGCTGAATGGCTGGGAGGAAGGTTGGACTGACCAAGGCTATGTGTAAGAGGAAGGGCACTGCAGGGTTCTGGTCATTAAAAATCTGGAAAGGGAAGGAACCACTAGGTGCAGAGTCGAGTTGGAGGTAGGAAGCAAGGACGTTTGTAACCCAGAAGAAAAGTGAGACTGGAGGGATGCCCTCAGGAACGCTGGATGGAGTTCTTTTTAGATGTCTCAAGTTTACTTTTGTTTTGTTTTTGTTTTTGTTTTTTTGAGATGGAGTCTTGCTCTGTGACCCAGGCTGGAGTGCAGTGGCACGATCTTGGCTCACTGCAACGTCCGCCTCCAGTGTTCAAGCGATTCTCCAGCCTCTGCTTCCTGAGTAGCTGGTATTACAGGCACGCACCTCCACACCCAGCTAATTTTTTTGTATTTTTAGTAGAGACGGGGTTTCACTATGTTGGTTCAGGCTGGCCTTGAACTCCTGACCTCGTGAACTGTTGGCCTTGCCCTCCCAAAGTGTCAAGTTTACTTTTTGAAAGACACATCTTCCATTGTCCTTTTGTTTTCCTCAAAGCAAACAGCAGGCCTACCAGTCCCTTCCCCTCCTCATCTCCCTAAAGGCTGTGCTTGGGCCTCAGAGTGTGCCTCACCTGGTGTTTATAGCTCTTGAGTCTCAGCGGGGAGCAAAGCAACTCTTAACCCTGCATGCACCAGTGAGAATCAAAATGGAAATGGATGTTCATCTCACCTGGATATGGATGCATGTGTGGAAGTTAGAAAGCGTGGCTAAGCTGACACAGATAGAGGCTTCACAGCTGGCTCTTGGCCAGGACAGGTAGTAGAGCAGGGAGCCCCGATTGGTAGCTTCTGCAGATTTCCATGGTGTCAATGTACTTGGGAATACGGTAACATGGCCAATAAATATCAAGCCACCATTTTGTTTGTTTGTTTTTTAATGGCTTTCAGAAGTCACAATAACTTAAAATACAGCTCTCCTGACCCAGTACAAACCAGCAACAGCACACCACCCAGCAAAAACAAGCAGCTTCTGGGACACACACATGACTCTTCCAATAGTTAGGAACTTCCTCTTAGTTAGGAACTATGAAATTAAATGAACAGTTAAATAAACACAGACCATAACTGGAGCCAGCACTAACCTAAATCTCTAGGAAGCATGTATGGAGTGTGTTCTAGGAGAAGACAGCACATGTGACATTTTATGAGACTAAGTCCAGGCATACAAATCAATTTCCTACTGATGCTCAAAGGCAACCATGAACTTGCTGATGTCAGTAGGTCTCCCTTCATCACTCCAGTTTTTTAAGGACTACTCGGCTGACTGGGCTTCTAATACAGATATATCAAATACCTCATCTCTTGCGAACTTCATGGCTCTGAGATGTAGGAATCACTCTTCCCACTTTGTCAACAGGGAAATTGAAGCTCAAAGAGCTCAAGGAGCTTTCTGTGGTACCCTTGCTTACAGACAACTAATGAGTAAATTAGGATATCCAGATGCTCATGTAGACATCATGGGAATGTTTCAATCTTATGTCATATGCAATTTGATTAACTCTCAGACCTTGAAATTAGCAACTGTTGTCCACTATACAATAATCTGTATTTAATCAATATTTTCTAAAGAAATGAATTTTAGATAATTTTCGAAGAAGACAATGATAAATAACAGCCACTTGACGATAAAAATCACCCCCACTGTCCTCCTGAGTAGATGGGAGGGACAGGTAGATTAGTTGACAATTGCTGTTCCTTTTAATGCTGAAATCATTTGGAAAGCTTTGATTTTATTATATCTGCCACTTTTAAGCCCCTCCCCATGTACAAGCTGTTTTATATATTGAGCCTCACTTCATCTGCATCTTAAAAGTAACAAAGCCCCATTTCCACTGTACAGCTGAAAAAAAGAGTTCAGGCAGTTAAGTGATTTGCCTAAATTTGCACAAATTATAGAGGACAGAGTTGGCACTCATGTCCAGTTCTGCCCAGTGTCAATTTCCACACTTGTTCTCCTTGATGACAGAACCTCCCTGCTCCCTTGTCCTCTGTCACCCTACTCTCAGACGCACCACTGGGGTCACCTCCTGTCTCACTCTGAGGGTAGCACATGTGTGCTGTTGCTAGAACTGAGGGAAAAACCCTTTCTTCCACCTGGGCTCTGGTGCTTTCAACATATTTAAATCGAAAATCCAAACATGTGCCACTCAGCACAACAGTCACCTCTACCCATTTGATTCCAAATGCGAAGCTGTTCAATAATGCTGCTTAGAAAGTTCAGGGAGTTATGACATACCATGACCCACTGGGCCCATGTCGTAGCCTTAATCATAATTGGAGCTTGTCTAGAATCTCTCCATTCCTTGGTGCTAACATACAGGATTTTAATCACAAATTTGCAGCTCCATCTCATTATGAAGAGGAGCAATCCCTCACAATGTTGTTAATTGACCTTAATCTAATGTGATGTGTAATACACTCAGCTGGATCCTCAGGCACTCTGGAAACAGAACAGTAAAACACCTCTTAAATCTAAATTATATTTGAAATAGTAGATTAGATTATTCCCAGCATCTGCAAACAAACCGTAGCCTGCTGAAATTTATCTTGCACTTTCCAAACAAGGCAAAGACTCCAGCCTGACATGCTGAATGCTTTATGAGTTCATCTACCCTGAAAGTCACACGCTTGTCTTCCTAATGCACCAAATGGCTGCTGCCTGCAAGGGGATGAGTCCTCTGGCAGAAGAGTGTGGACCCCACACCTGTGCTGGCTCTGAGGCCAGGCTGACCTGTGAAGGGCAAGGTTGCATGTCAGACAGACTGGGCTCATTACCACGTTGGCATTTACCAGCTCTGTGATCTTGGGCAAGTGATTTTAACATTTCTGAGCCACTGACTTCTCCTTGGTGGAGTACTGAGGGACTGAGAAGTTTAGAAAAATCTGCTTACAGCTACAGGAAATTCGTGAAAGTTGATGATATGACCATGTAAAATCTACTCTTCTTCCGTTTTTGTTTTTAATGAACATTTCATTTTAGATAATATAGATAAACATAGAGGTATGATAAATAATACAGAGACCTCTCATTTACCTGTTACCCAGTTTTCCTCAATAGTAGAATCTTGCAAAATTGTATTACAGTATCACAACTAGGATATCATCATCGTTACAGTCAAGATAAAGAACAATTCTGTTATCACCAGGATCCTCACATCGCTCTTTGATAGAATCCCCTAGCACCTCACTTCTGCCGTCCTTAATCACTGGCAGCTACTAATCTATTCTCAATTTCTATAATTTCATCATTCAAAAGTTTTATAGAAACAGAACCATTCAGTATGTAAGCTTTGGGGATTGACTTTTTCACTCATGATAAGTCCCCGGAGACTTATCCAGGTTGTTGCACGCACCCATTGTTCACTGCTTTTCATTGCTGAGTAGTATTTCACAGTCAGGATTTACTAGCTTGTTTAACCACTTACTGGCTTAAAGACAACTGGGTTGTTTCCAGTTTTTGACTTTTACAAGTTAAGTTGCTATGAATATTTGAGTACAGGTTTTTGTGAACAAATAGTTTAATTTTTATTGGATGAGTGACCAAGAGCACAACTGCTGGACCATTTGGTAGTTGCATGTTCGGTTGCATGAGAAACTGCCAAACTTTTCCCAAGTGACTGTGCCTTTTCATATCCCTCACCGACAATATATCACTGATTCAGTCCCTCTACATGCACTCCACATTGCTGTTATCACTACTTTAAAAAAAAAAGCCATTCTGATAAGTTTGTCATGATATCTCACTGTGGTTTTAATATGCATATTCCTAATGTCTAATGATGCTGTGCACCTTTCTATTTGCTTATTTACCATCTGTATATCCTCAAGTGAAATTTCTATTCATGTCCTTTACCAATTTTCTAATTGAAATATTTGTATTTTTATTGTTGAGTTTAAGACTTATATTCTATATTCTATACAGGTCCTTTGTTAGATATGTCATTTGCAAATATTTTTCTCCAGTCTGTACCTTGTCTTTGCATCCTCTTATTAGGGGTTTGCAGTGAGCTCAAGTTTTTAATTTGATGGTTTCTAATTATACATTTCCTTGAATGGATTGTGTAGTGTCAAACCTAAGAACTCTTTGCTTAACTCCACATTCTGAAAATTTTCTCCTATGTATTATCTATAAGTTATATAGCACTAAATTTTTTTAATCTAAGTCCATGATTCATTTGGAGTTAACGTTTATATAAGCTATGATATTTAGGTCAAGGTTCGTTTTTAATCTATGGATGTGTAATTGTTTTGGTATCATTTATTGAAAAAGCTATCCTTCTTCCATTGAATAGCTTTTGCACTTTTGTCAAACATCAGTTGAGTGTATTTTTGTGGGCTTATATCTGGATCTTTATTCTGTTCCATTGATCTATGTCTATGTGAAACCAGCCCTATAAAATTTAGAAAATTAATCAGGGAAGAAGGGAGGGGGAAAACAAAGGTAAACCAAGCTTGCAGCACAGTCACATTGATCACTAGGTCAGCTTGCTCCCCAATGTGCTTCCTATTGTCCTAGAACCACACAGACACAAGCCAGGCATGGTGGCTCACACCTGTATTCCCAACACTTTGGGAGGCTGAGGCAGGAGGATCACCTGGGGTCAGGGGTTCAAGACCAGCCTGGCCAACATGGCGAAACCCTGTCTCTACTAAAAATAAAAATAAAAATAACTAGTTAGGCGTGGTGGTGGGCCCCTGTAAGGGAGGCTGAGGCAAGAGAGTCGCTTGAACCTGGGAGTCAGAGGTTGCAGTGAGTGGAGATCACGCCACTGCACTCCAGTCTGGGCAATAGAGCAGGACTCCATCTCAAAACAAAAAAACAAACAAACAAAAAAAGAACCACCCAGACACAGTTACATAATTATAGTTCTCCTTACCTGCTCTATAGATAACAACTTGAACATCATGAAATGTTAAATTTTCCCTTTGAGCTATTCTTTCATCTTCTGCATACTGCTGAAACTACTGACTCAGTTGGTATGAAGAACCCCACTGATATCAGCTGGTGTAAAGGACCCCACTTATACCACCTGTCTGTGGGACCCTGTGAGAAGCTGACTCATCAAAGAATGGGGTCACCACATCCTGATGATTTCATTCCCCTTATCCTAACCAATCAGTGATCTCAATTTTCCAGCCCCTCACCCTCCATGATCCCCTTAAAAGCCCCAAGCAATAACTCCTTGGAGAAATGGATTTGAGGGTTTCAAATTCCAAAGGGTACCATCTCCTTGCTTGGTGCCCTGCATTCATTAAATTCTTCCTCTGCAGCAAACCCTGCCATGTCAGGGTATTGGTCTGTTACTGCACAGTGGCATAAGAACATGATGCTCCTATAATCTGTTTCCACCAATAACACACCACTGATCACTGTGGCTTTGTGGCAGGCCTTAATATTGGGGAGAGTGATTCTTCCACTTAATTATTCTTTTATAAGAATTTTTTAACTAAGAACTTTGCCTTTTCATATAAATTTTAGGATAAGCTTATCTATGTCCATACAAAACCTTCTTGGAATTCTAATACGAATTGAATAAAACATATGGATTTAGAGAGAAGTGACATCTTTACTATGCTGTGTCTCCCAATCCATGAATATGTTATCTCTCTTTATCTACTTAGGTCTTTTTCTTTTCTTAAATAGCATTATAACAATTTTACATATATTAATTCTGCATATGTTTTGTTAAGCACATACCTAAGTATGTCATTTTCATTGCAGCAATCGTAAAAGGTATAATGTGTTTAATTTTGGATTCTGCATGTTTATTTTTAGTTTAGCTTTATATGTAAGTAAAATTGATCATTTTGTGTTGATATATCCTGTAACTTTGCTGAAGTCACTTAATTAGTTCTAGGTGTTGTTTTGGAAGGTGGATTTTAAGTGGTGGATTCTTTGGGGATTTTCTGTATAGACAACCATGTCAACTGAAAATAGGAGCTATTTCTTTTCTTGTTTTTCATTCTGTATCCCTATTATTTATTTTTCTTGCCCTATTCCTGTGGACAAAAGTTTTCATACTATGTTGAATAAGAGTGATGAGAGCTGTCATCCTTTTATGGAGAAAGCATCCAGTTTTTCCATGTAAAGCTTGGTACTCCTTCTTCATTTTGTATGGACCTGAAGCATTGCCCTAGCTAATCCAGGATACTGACTTAGTAAAGGTCGGCTGTGCCCACTCTCCCGCTGTTTCATCAAAATTTATACACAGTAAATGTTTAAGTTTTTTCCCTCCATATACCACAGCTTTCAGATTACTAAAAGGAAAAGGTGAGTCTATTGGATCTTGTACTTAGATCATAAACAGAATCTCTTTTAAGGACTCCAGGAAATTGTATGAAATCTTCACAGTTGTTCTCTTCCCTGTTAACATGGGACAATGCCCAATATACTCTGAAAATATTGAAAACATCAGGAAAATGTTATAATTATGACAAAAGTAAATTGTTATGAGTTCAATTGTGTTCCTTAAAATTATATGTTAAAGTCCCAGTCTCCAGTACCTCAAAATATGACCTTTATTTGGAATAAGGTCATTGCAAATTTACTAAGTTAAGATGAAGTCATACTGGGGTAGGGTGGGCCCTTAAACCAATAGGATTGATGTCCTTATTAGAAGAAACACAGAGACACAGACTCACTGGGGACAATGTCATGTGGCACTGGAGGCAAAGGCTGAAGTGCTGCAGCTGCAAGCCAAGGGATACAAGGATTGCCCACAAACTGCCAGAGCCAAGACGAGGTGCACAATGAGTCCCCCCTCCAGGTGTCACAGGGAGAATGGTACCATGGAAACCTTTTTTGGGGGGCTTCTAGCCTCCAGAACTGGGAGGCAATACATTTCTGTTGTTTTACTACACTCACCTTGTGGCACTTCTTCATGGAAGCCCAAGAAAACTAATAAAAAATTCTGACAAACTCATGGGAGGCATCCATTGCACTTTACTTACTGTTTCTAATGCCTACACTTTATCTCCTTAATCATCCTAAAAGCTTCTTGAGGATGAGTAACACATTTGAAACCACTCAAAACATCTATTACTTAACCCAGAACATATAATATGCTTCACATTTGCCTGTGGGTCCTGGAAGAATGTGTGTTCAGCCAAGGACATGGGGTCGGGAGGAAACAGAAGACAGCACTGCCCATCTCCGTCCTGGAGAATGAGAGCCAGTCAACCAGATGGAGCCTCCTTCCTCATCTCTGCAATCCACAGCCCACATCATTTCCTCAAGACCCTTCTTACCTTTTACTGATTTTCTTCTAGCTAAGAAAAATGTTATTTTTAACCCCTTCTCGCTTGCAGGTCTAATCTTGCATGCTCCAAATTCTAATTTGTGCTTCCCTTCCTGGATTCGTTTTTGCTGCTTTAAAAGAATTCCGATATTTTATAAGTAGAAATACAAAGGAAGTCCACTTTACTGATCTACTGTAAATATTAAATGACAAAAATCATATGAGGTAGCTTTTTGAGCTTATAAGTTGTTCAACAGCTGTTATCAATTGTGGCCAGCCCAAAATACCTTCATCCCTTACATTCTCAACTGCAGGACACAGGGCAGTGGGAATATGTCTTGCATGACTAGAGATGCCAGAGCCTTAGAGACTCTCTAAATGCTAGCCAAATAAAAGTCTTTCTTTTTTTTTTTTCTTTTGAGACAGGGTCTCATTCTATCACCCAGGCTGGAGTGCAGTGGCACAATCATAGCTCAGGCTCAAGCTATCCTCCTAACTCAGCCTCCTGAGTACTGAGCAGATGAGAGCACAGGCATGGACCACCATGCCAGGCTAATTATATATATATATATATGTGTGTGTGTGTGTGTGTGTGTGTGTGTGTGTGTGTGTGTATGTGTGTGTATATATATATATGTGTGTGTGTGTGTATATATATATATATATATTTTTTTTTTTTTCCTGAGACAGAGTTTCACTCAGTCACCCAGGCTGGAGTGCAGTGGCATGATCTCGGCTCACTGCAACCTCCACCTCCTGGGTTCAAGTGACTCTCCTGCCTCTGACTCCCGAGTAGCTGGGATTACAGGCACGTGCCACCACGCCCAGCTAATTTTTTCGTATTTTTAGTAGAGACAGGGTTTCACCAAGTTGGCCAGGCTAGTCTCGAACTCCTGACCTTGAGTGATCCACCTACCTCGGCCTCCTAAAATTTTTAATATTTGTAGAGCCAAGGTCTCAGCCCAGCCTGGTCTCAAACTCCTGGGCTCAAGCAGTCCTCTGGCCTCAGCCTCCCAAAGTGCTGGGACTACAGGAATGAGCCACTGTACCAAGTCAAAAGTATTTCTTAATATATAGGAATCTCCTGAGAAGGCTTTGTTCTCTTCAAATTTACATATGTATATGGTAACATTAAGAGAGTAGAACAAATTAACATAAAAATCCTATATTTAATCAAAAGACCATAGTTTATCCCCCTACTTAGGAATTTTCTAAGTAGACACTAAACTGAATGAAGACACTATAAAGCCTGTAAAGGAAGATTTCAGCAAAGGTAACTTTATTTGGGAGTTTTTTTTTTTTCTTTTTAGCCCATTGAAATCCCGAAATTCAAAGACAAATTATATCAGCATCATCTGGAAATTTTTTAAAAAGCAGTTTGTGAGACCCTGCCTGCCACCTCCTTCCATTCCATTCTGACTTGTTAAATAGGAATACTGTCATGGGATCTTCATTTTCAATGAATTCCCAGGCAACTCTACTACACAGACAGGAGTCTAACAAGGCCAAGTTCAGATTCTCAAAGGTGGGAATCTTACATGGCAGGCCAAGTGTTCTTATGACTGTTAAAGAAAAACTTATTCAGTGATTATTGTTAAAGCACAGTAAGGAAGACTTTATTCAGGATCATTGTGATACATATGGGAGCCACTGCAATGGGATCTTGCAATGGGAGAGAGAGATCAGGTTCAACTGCAAATACAACATAGACAAGTGGAAATTTGTAGCCACTTGTCTATGTGTAGCTAGAGAGGAGCCAGATGCAGGTCGGTGGATACAAGATTACTAAAAGAGGTAAAGGGGATTTTGGTTAGACAGACCTGAGAACATTCTGGTTGAAAACAGACCTGAGTGGTGGTACGTCACCTGGGGGATGGTGAGGATTAGGAAACTGATCAAATATCAAGGATGGGAAGTACTTGCTAAACTGACATAACAGAGTTCTTTGCTGTTTTATAAGGAAGTGGACAGATAGGCATAGGACAAGATTCAAGAGCCTGAGTCAAATTGGCCAAAGAATCTTTGTCATGGGTAGGGACAAAATTCAGGGCACATGGAGATCTGGGGTGAGTACAAGGAGGACACAAAGATCTTAGTGAAGGGCCTCAAAACAGAATATTAAAGAGACCAAAAAACTCTTTTTCTATTTTATAGAATCATAATATTCAAAACGCTCACCTGGTCTGAACATGCTTTAGAGGAGGGCCCTGTGCAGTGACTTCTGCCTTTCTTTGCTTTCTTTTCCAAAACTACCTCTAAAGGCAAAGCTGTAAAATTCGGGGTTTGAGGTCTGACCCTCTGCTGGAATTAATTTTCCTGGGCAAATATTCCCCAATAAATCACAAATAATTTATTAAGCTCAGAAGGAAAATAACTTAAGGAGATGAAGGTGTAAAGTTTAATTTTTTTTTAACAACAAAAAAATCTCATCTCTTTTTTGTGAACACCAAATTTTCTGTGTAAGAAAAAGACATAACGCATATGCATGGAAATCAATACATCCATATTGTAGTCAAACAGTGCCGATGGAACTAACAAATGCATAATCAGTCTAGCCCATTCCTTTGAAAATAAATTGATTTTTCAGCACTTTTCCCCAAACTCCAGTTGCTTTGAAAACAAAAATCATTTTCTTTCTTTCTGACAACGGTGCATTTTAAATGTGAGCATTTTCTCATCTAATGATTGTTTTTGTGGGTTTCTCCCACTGATTGGACATATCTAATTATCCAAATAGCTATCTAAATAGAATATACTTTCAGTTGTGCCTTTAAAGTGTAGCTTGAGGAGATGTAGTTTTCTGTGACCTTTAAACCACAGCCACCTTCCTCTACTCAGCTCTGAATGAAATATGGCACCACAAACAATCTCGACTCCAGCACTTATGGATTGTTATTGAAATCTACATGTTATAATTTTTTAATTGCCAAATGCGGCAGCTACATGGCCATAAAAGGTGATTGAAAGTGTTTGTACAAGATGTAAAACTGGTTGTTTTCCTCCTGTAATAGGATATGAACCCAGATTTATCACTGATGCTTCTTTTCTGTTGACATTTTTATGAAAATGGAGTTTGGGAGACTTTGCCCCACTTTGTTCAGCCTTGACTGGAGACCTTACTGTAGTGTTTGTCACCGATGTGTTACCCACTTTTTGAAAATCATCCTAGATGGAAGTATGATCATTTATATAAAATCCTCTAGTGTGACTTTATGGTGAGGATCTGACTCAGTTGGCTATTCAGATATATTATATTTGTTAATTATTTTGTACATATAGTTTTGCCAAAACCCACTATTTCACTAAGCACTTGAATTGCAATCGTTTTTCTCTTCCTTCATGTGTAACTGATATAATAATTGCCCTTAAAAGTACTGTATTTGACATACTATACATAAATAAGTGAATATGGGACTATATAAGTATTGCTTTATGATACTGTAATTGGGATATTACTACATCGTCTTCATTTTGAACCAAAGGATCTGAATTGAATTTCAGTTTTTGGGTTGTGTAATTTTAAGGACTGAAATGTATAGCAATAATAACAACCTTCTGATTTTTTAAGCAGCTTCCTCTGATGGCATTCTTTTCCTTTCACTTGGATGCCAGCCTCACCAGCCTTCTCTAAGTTCTTTGCAAAAGTCAAACTCCTCTGGCCATAGAAAAACCCTATGCAAATGTGCAAATGTTGTTTCTTTTACTCAGAATGCCTACCCTACTCCTACAAACCACCTTCTACACTTCACTTAATTAATTTCTACTCAGCTATAGATTTAAGCTCACATGTGATTTTCTCAGGAAACCTTTCTCTCGTGTCCATAACCACATAGTCCATCTCACTAAGTCTTCTCCGTAAACAGCACTTGTCACAATTTCACATAGTTTGCATGAGATTTTGAGGCCAGGGTGAAAATGGAATGGCTGGACCTAACCAGCAGGGACTTAAATGCATAAATTTTATTTGCCATTGGTGATTTTCAACAGAGATATGGCATGACAGATTTATCTTTTAGAGGGATCACTCTGGCAGCAATAAATAGTAGACAAGATGTGATTTATTTAAGAAACACTAGAGTAACTTGGGGATTAAGATTTGGTGTTAAACTTGATATGGCTAAAGGGACAAGAAGTGTGAGGCAACCTGTGGTTTTCTGGCTGGGCGACTGGGTAAATGGTCAGGTGCTCAGACAAGAAACAATGCAAATGAGGATGGACAGAAACAGGTAATTGTTCTGTCTAAAGCAGGATGAGCCTGAGGTCTCTGCAAATTAGCCAAATGGATGTAAAGATCAGATATAGATATGTAAAAGTCATCAACACAATTAATTGGTAGTCTAAATTGTGAGAGCTTTTGCGCTCGTCCAGAAAAAAAAAAAAAAGATGAACAAAAAGATGAACATTAAGACAGCCATGAGTAGAGTGTAGAGAATCCATAAATACAGAGGTAAAGAGAGAAAAAGGACTGTGGAATATAGGCTGAGACCTCCAGAGGGTATGTTGCCAAAGCTGTTAGGATAATGGATTTCCAAGAAAGATCAAGATCAAGGGACAAACAGTAGCTCAGGGAGAAGACAGACAGGTTCAGTGAAATAAATGATGCAACATATTTATTGGACAAGGCCTAGTTTCAGTAGCAATGTAAGGTAAACATGGTTAACAATAATTTAGTGTATATTTTTAAAAAGCTACAAGAGAGAACTTTGAATGTTCATATCACAAAGAAATGATAAATGTTCAAGGTGATGACTATGCTATGCCAAATGCCCTGATTTGATCCTTACACATTGCGTACATAGATTGACATATCACTCTATATCTCATAAATATATATAATTATTATGTGTCACCTAAAAATAAAAGGAAAAAAATATATTTCTAAGAGTAGTGTTTGGGGATTGGTGAGAGGCAGAAGCCCAACAATACAGACAAGGTCAAGTTCCTTTGCTCCGGGTGTCCCAAGCACCAGTACAGTGGGTAGTGTAGGTTGTCCCATGATATAAGAAGCTCTGATAGGCATTTTTATTATTTTTTAATTTTGGATATATGGGACATACGGTTATTGCACAGATCAAGGAACTGAGACATAAAAAAATGTAAGGAGTTTCTCCAGGATCACATGACAAGTAACTAGCAGAGGCCTCAGCTTGGCTCTGTTATGGAACTCCAAGGAGCAGCACATTTCTCCTTCCCCCTCAATGACATGGCCATTCTAGTAATCACATGGAGCTCTGGAGACAGCCAATTGCCTTTCCAGTCTCAGCAGATTTCACTGTCCTCTTGACTATGTTGGTACCTGGAAGTTGACTTGACACAGAATCAAGCCATAAATAAAGAGAAAACCTTCCGGTGAGATTTTGTGAATATCATTACAATGTTTTCCTAAAAAATATTCTACACATTGACAACTCCTTATCACTACTGCAGCTCCTATTCTGCTGTGAGCAGCTGATATTATTAGCAAAAAGGCAGGGAATGAAGATTTCCATAACTGCATTTCAAGGGATCTGTTAAAACTTTTAACATCTTCATTAAGAGATCTGCCTTTTCAAGACTATCTCAACCACCAGTTTTCCAGCTGGACATTCAGAGTTTTAAATGTCCAGTGATATTAGTTCCATATCGCTACTTCTCTCACATCTAACATTTTACACAAAAAGACTAGATTTCACATAAATTCCTACAGCAGGGATATGGAAGACAAAGGAAAGCAAATGCAGGATGCAGATGCTAAAATCTGTTCAACAAACCACCATGACACACGTTTGTCTATGTAACAAACCTTCACATGTACCCCTGAACTTAAAATAAAAGTATGAAAAAAAGAAAAATTGGCCAGGTGATGTGGCTCCCGCCTGTAATCCCAGCACTTTGGGAGGCCAAGGCAGGTGGATCACCAGAGGTCGGCAGTTCGAGATCAGCCTGATCAACATGGAGAAACCCCGTCTCTACTAAAAATACAAAATTAGCCGAGCGTGGTGGCTCATGCATGTAATCCCAGCTACTCAGGAGGCTGAGGCAGGAGAATCGCTCTAACCTGGGAGGCAGAGGTTTCGGTGAGCCAAGATCATGCCATTGCACTCCAGCCTGGGCAACAAGAGCAAAACTGTCCAAAATAAAAAAAAGAAAAAAGAAAAGGAAAAAGGAAAGAAAAGGAAAAAGGAAAGAAAAGGAAAAAGGAAAGGAAAGGAAAAGAAAGGAAAGGAAAGGAGAAAGGAAAGGAAAGGGGAAAGGAAAGGAAAGGAGAAAGGAAAAGAAAGGAGAAAGGAAAGGAAAGGAGAAAGGAAAGGAAAGAAGAAAGGAAAGGAGAAAGGAAAGGAAAGGAAAGGGAAAAATTTACTGAAATTTTGCTCATCATAACAAAACTTTGGAGATACTTTAAATGTCTTTCAATAATAGACTGATTGCATAAATTAAGCCACACACATACCAGTCAGTGTGCATATACTCACATCTATCACATACACACAAGCATACACACTGGAATACAAAGAAACCATTAAAAATACCTATACCTTGTTAAATTTTTAAAATGCAAATTGTAAAGCTCATGTAGAACTAATATTATTTTGTAAAATTATATACATATGTATATATGTGCCTAGAGATGTCTCTAAATAGAATCTCATGAAAATGTGAGCTTTACTGAGCTCTGCCTAATACAATTTGAGGCAATTTTTAGTTTTTTTCACGGTATTTTTTGGTATAGTTTGAATCATTTAGAAAAGTATATGCCATGTTTACAGAAACAATAAGATGGTTTTTACATAAAACATATTTTTAAAAAAGACTTTGTGAGTGAGAAGCACTTTCAGAATGTTAGAGTAAGGACCACCAAAAATCTGATCATCCATGAAAGCAATAAAGACAGTGGCAACAATTGTCCATTAAAAAATCAACTTTAAAAATTATTGATTTATGTGTTTAACTTGCAAGTAAAAATTACATATATAGTTATATATAATTATATAGCTATACATATATATATGGTATACAACATGCTTTCTTGACATATGTATACATTGTGGAAAGGCAATACCAAGCTATTTTACAAATACATCCTTCACATACTTCTCATCTTTTGTGTATGGTAACAATACTTAAAATCTACTGTCTTAGAAATTTTCAGATATACTCTATTTTGTTACAAACTGCAGTCACTGTGATGTACAATAGATCTCTTGAAGTTATTCCCACTAAGTGAAATTTCGTACCCTTTAACCAACATCTCCCTATTCCCACTACCGCAGCCTATGGTAACTATCACTTTACTCTGTCTCTGAGTTTGACTTTTTGACACTCCATATATAAGTGAAATGGTGCAGTATTTGTCTTTCCGTGCTTGGTCTATTTCACTTAGTATAATGTCCTCCAGTTTCATCCATGCTGTAGAAAATGTCAGGATTTCCTTCTTTTTAAAGGCTGAATTGCATTCCTTTGTGTACATTTACCACATTTTCTTTATCAATTTACCTGTTGATGGACACTTAGGTTGGTTCCATATCTTGATTGTTTTGAATAATACTGCAATGAATATGGGAGTGTGGATATCCCTTTAAAATACTGATTTCATATCCTTTCAAAATAAATCCCATAGTGAGATTGCTGGATCATATAATAGTCCTATTTTTAATTCTTTGAGGAACCACCATACTGTTTTCCATAATGCCTGTGTTTATTTGCCTTCCAACCAACAGTGCACAAAGGTTCCCTTTTTTCTACACCCTTTCAAACACTTGTTATCTTTTGTCATATTTATAACAGCCATTCTAATACAATTGAGATGAAATCTTATTATCTCATTATAATTTTAATTTTCATTTCCCTGTTATTAGTGAGAAGCATTTTTTTTTCACATACCTTTTGGCCATTGGTATGCCTTTTTTAGAGAAATGTCTACGCAGATCTTTTGTCCATTTTTTTAACTGGATTATTTGTTTTCTTACTATTGAGTTGTCAAAATTAACTTTCTCAGAACTCTGCAAATTAACAAAAGACTTGAAACAACCTAAGGAGTGTTTGTTCAAAACAAGTGGCTGAGTCTCAGTGAGCTTTATCATCTTTCAGCTCATCTCATTCCCATCTTACTCTCCCCAACTACTCAGTCACCTTGAAAACCAACAGCCTCTCAGTTATGGTGAAAACTAGCAGCCTGGTGGCAACTGTCATGGACAGAGGGATGTGGAGCTCCAAAAAAGTTTTATTATCAGAAAATTGTCATTATTTGACCTAACTGGCAGCTCCTTGGAAATCCCCAACACACACGCACATACACAAGATCGTGTTTATTTGATTTTACTTAGAACTGACTGTTGCTCAGTGACAACAGCTACTTCTCCACGGTGTATATATATATACATATATATATACACACACACATATATATATACATATATATATGTATATATATTTGGCAATATAAGAGGCAATTATTTAACATGAGAGCTGCCTGAGTTGATGATAAAAATTGGATCAAACAAAAGCATGACTAACAACTTAGAAGGCGAGCCAGAGAAAGAGCTATTCATAGGAAACTTTGGAAAGCTCCAACATATTTCTGAAAATCTAGAAGGCCAGGCACATGCATAGGTTGCTTGCATGCCTGGGAGAAGGCCCTAAGTCTCACCAGAGTGACTTTAAAGTTCTTTGCAAGTAGGAAGTGAATTCTAAGGCAGGATTCTAAACCACCAGTGTTGCAGTTTGCCCCAATATGCACACAAAGGCTCTAAGCAAATGATGAGAGATTGAGTCAAGTGAGACTTTTAACAAAATCTCTGTCCAGTAATTTGCTGTCACCTAAGTTAACTGAGTAGAGACTAGAGTGGCCACACATGAAAAAGAATACAGGCTTTACAGAATTGACTCAAAAGTCACTTTAAAAAAAAGCAACAATAACAAATCCTGGAGATAGGGAGGAATTTTGATTTCCAGACTTGCCAAATTACACTATTTAAATGTCTATTTTTCAACAAAAATCATGAGACAGGCAAGAAACAGGAAATGCTGGTATAAACACTAATGTTAATATCAGGAGCAAGACAAGATTATCCACTCTCATTTCTATTCAACAAAAGACAATAAAATAAATAAATATTGGAAAGGAGAATCAAAACTGTCTTTACTTGCAGATAGGTCCGTATATAAGACATGATCTTACATATACAGAAAATGTTAGTGAGCATAAAACAACCTGTTGGAACTTAATAAATGAATTCAGTAAGGCTGCAGGATAAAAGATCAATATACAAAAACCAATTGTATTTCCATACACAAGCAATAAACAACCAAAAATGAATTTTTAAAAATAGTTGCATTTACAATATATCTAAAAAGATGAAACACTTGATAATACATTTCACAAGTACAAGACTTGTACAATGAAGACTACAAAATAGTGTTGAAATAAATAAGACCTAAATAACTGGAGATATCCCATATTTATGGATCATAAGAATATTGTTAAGATGTCAATTATCCAAAACAAATCTACAGATTCAACACAATCCCTATCAAAATCTCAGCTGATCTTCTCATACAGAGTAACCTATCTATATAGAAAAAAATATGAAAATGCAATGGACCCAAAATAGCCAGAACAATCTTGAAAAACAATATATTTAGACAACCCACACAACCTGATTTTAAAACTTAAAAAGCTGAAAAGCTACAATAACCAAGAAAGTGTGGTACTTGTATAAGGCTATATAAATATAGTCAAATATAATTTGGAAGCCAGAAATAAACTACTATATAATGGTCAATTGATTTTAAACAAGGATATCAAGGCAATTAAATGGGGAAAAATAGTCTTTTTAAGAAATAGTGTTGAGACAAGTAGATATTTACTTAGAAATCAATGAAGCTGAACCCCCACCTTAAGTCATATGCAGAAATAACTCAAAATGGCTCATAGACATAAATGTCAATGCAAAATTTAAAGTACAATTTTAGAAAAAACAAAAACATAGCTGTAAATTGTTGTGACCTCAGATTAGGCAATAATTTCTTAATGAATGATAGATATCAAATGCCCAAGTGACCCAAAAGAAGTAGATCAATTAGGTTTGATTAAAATGTTTTGAAAAACTGTGCTGCACAATCAGGAAAGTAAAAAACAACCTACAGAATGAGAGAAAGTATATGCAAATCATACACTTGGTAAGGATAAGGTATCAAGAAAAAAACAGGTTACATTTCTATCTAGATGGACACTCCCAGCTGATGAACTCATTAGCCAAAAGATAATTGCAAGTAACCCAGTTAAGCAACGAGTAAAGTATTTGAATAGACAGCTCTTCAAAGAAGATATACAAATGACCAACGATCGCAAGAAAAGATTCTCAATACCATTTTATTAGTCATTAGGGAAATGCAAATCAAAATCACAGTGAGCTATCTCTTCACAATCACCATAGCGACTAAAATAAAAAAGATGACACTATATGATATGAAAGATGTGGAGAAATTGGAAGCCTCAAATATTCCTGTTGGAATTGTAAAATTGTGCAGCCATTTTAGAAAACAGTTCAACAATTTCTGAAAATGTCAAGAACAGGGTGTTATCATATCACGTACCAATTTCACTCCTAGACTTACACCTGAGAGAATTGAAAGTATATGTTTATACAAACCCTGTACACGAATGTTCCTAACAGCATTATTCTTAACAGTTAAAAGTAGAAAAACCCAAATGCCTATCAACTAATAAATACTTAAATAAAATATGATCTATCCATACCATAGAATGTTATTTAGTAATAAAAAGGAATGAAGCACTGATACACACTGCAACATGAGCCAACGTTGAAAATATTATGCTAAAGGACAGAAGCCACGTATGGGACATGCAATGAATGATCTCATTTATATTGAATGGCCAGAATAGGCAAGTCTCTAGATACACAATGTAGATCACTGGTTTCCAGGAGATGGAGGAAGGGGTAAGTTGGGAATGTATGCCAACGTGTACAGGCTTCTTTCTGGAATGATGAGAATGTTCCGAAATTTGATAGTGGTGATGGTTGTCCACTTCTGTGAATACACTAAAAACCATTGAATCATACACTTTAAAAGGGTGAACTTCAGGGTATGTGAATTATATTTCAATAAAACTGTTATTGGGGAAAAAAGATGGTGCGATGGGCACTCTCTGGATCAAGGAACAGAAGAAAGACACTGCAATCCTTGTTACAACAGAGTGACATGGAAATGGGCTGGTGATGGGAGTTTCCTTCAGAAGCTTCACCTCAAATCTGTCTGACATTAGGCAATAATACGGTCCTTATTTGCTCAAAAATAAATTTTCAGTGATACGCATCTTATCTTTACCCTTTAGGTTTTTCTGGGTAACATTTTACAGTAATCCACATGGTCCTCTTTTGCTGCCTGATCTCTCACATTCTTTCCTAAGTTATTGTGGGGGGCCCTGCAAAACACAAGCATTGAACAGGAAAGTTGTTCTTAAGCACAATCTTGATATTATACTTTTTTATCTGTAATTGCAAATTCAGCATAAATCTCTGTTTTATCACACTAATGATTATTATAATTTGCTTATTTTAAACCCGATTATTTTTCAATTAGAAACTCAAATGATTTCCCAAGTTCCTACGTTCACCCTTAAATGGCAGAGGCACTCCACATAGACAATTTCAGTTACAATTTAAAATACTGTGTAATGAGGATTTTTAAATGTTAATTAAAATATTGTGATAAGAAAACCAAACTTATTAACGATAAGATGATAAATATCCAATTATTTCTTGACAAAAATCTCTACCAGCTGCTTTTAATATTTCATGAATATGTGAAAGAAACAGAATAGAGGAGTTTTTTAAGACTTTTTTAGAACTTTTGGTAATTTCCCTCTATCCTCCAAAAACTGACAGTTCATTCACAATCTGCTTGGTCCTGTTATTAGCAGGTTAAGCAGGGAAAGGACTTTGAGGCTGTAGAAACAATATATGTAAGGGGACTGAGGACAAGGATGAAAACAACTCCAGAGAACTCAGATTCGTTCAGTATAATTGGGATCCAAGTTATATAAAGAAAAGCACCATGTACCTTATTATTTATCTCATTTAACCCTTTAATAAAACCTGTAAGCTTGACATGATACATGTACACTAAATACATGTACATTATACATGCACATTAATCATTAGTGTGATAAAACAGAGATATGCTGAATTTGCAATTACAGATAAAAAAGTATAATATCAAGATTGTGCTTAAGAACAACTTTCATGTTCAATGCTTGTGTTTTGCAGGCCCCCCCACAATAACTTAGGAAAGAACGTGAGAGATCAGGCAGCAAAAGAGGACCATGTGGATTACTGTAAAATGTTATCATCCAGAAAAATCTAAAGGGTAAAGGTAAGATGCGTATCACTGAAAATCTATTTTACATTATACATTATACATGGCTCAGCCTGAGAGGTGGCTTGCACCAACTCACAAAGCCCTGAATGAGTAGAGCTGAGTCTCAAACTCATTCTCATCATTCCAAGTCTTCTGTACCATAAAGAAGAGTCTTTGTCTCTACCATGGCTTCCTCTCAATGTTACTGCTGTGAAGAAAAGGTCCTGAGCAGACAGAGTTGTAAAATGAACAGAGGATTGAAAAACAAGGGACACCAGATTGGATGAAGGATCTGTGTCTCACTCTTTCCTCACAACTTTGTGGCTGATGCTGCTTTCCTGGGCTCACAGATCCCATCCTTATGGGAACCTACTGAACTAAAGGGGTATTTCAGGTTGTGTTTCTGAATAGATGGACACCTCAGCAGGTGAACCCTTTGGCTAAAAGATAATTCAATGCAATGATCGATGACTATGCCATGACTGACTTGCTATTTGATGAATGATCAGAGTATCTTGCTGACCAGAGTTGAAATAGATGTTCACACAGAGACAGCCCCAAACTTTCAAATTAAGCCATCTCTTAGTAATAGTTCAGTATATGTCAAAATTTTTTAAACCAAAACTGAGGAATAGGAAAGAAGTATTTGAATGTGAGGAAAAAACACCACTTACATCACTGATCAGTCTTTCAAAGTAGAAATTAAAATATTCATGAATATTCTCTATGAGCCTTTCCTAAAGGCTGCATACCCAGCAGTGAATTAGTGTTCTGTTAAATAAATAAAACATAAAAGGCCCAGTTCACCTGCACTATAGCCAGCTAGTAAAATTCAGAACATATGAGGGGGACAAAAAGAAGTAACAGACCAACACAAGTGAATAATTAAAGGAGTTGTGAAGTGTTAAGAATGGTGGACCAAGGCTACACCATTTATGGCCTGTGAGACTTCAAACATGCTACTTAGCATCTCTAACTCAGTTTTCCTGTCTAAAAAATGGGGATGATACACTCAATTGCTTATTTTGTTATTACCATAAATGCTATTATGTATACAAAGCATCTCACACAGCTTTTGATAAATATTAAATGTTCGATAAAAGCTAATCATTATTTAGCAATTGAGAAATTATTTGTAATTGCAGCTAAAATGTTTGTTATCTCAAATAAGTCCTTCATCCTTGGTTAGAATCTGGTTAATATAAATGTCACAATCAATCTAGACAGAGCATCCTAAAATCTTCTGGCCTCAATTGAAAGAATCCAAAAGTTTGTGTAATAGCATACGTCACTTTGCCTGTCTGATTATCCATACGCTCATCAGGGTTTTGAGCATTTTTTACCTTCTTACTTCTTTTGGTATACTAGATTAGTCAAACATCTGCCCTTGTGTGCTGATGAGAGTAACTTGAGCTAGGACACAAATTACCTTGACACCCTGTTCCAGAGATCAGAAATGCTATTTTCACGTATCTGCTAATAGCTGTCCTCCCCAGTAGTGCCCATGTGACCTTTAAATATCACAGAAGCTAAGTGTCAAAGGAGAATAATAATGCCATTTTAATTGATTGGTAAATTATTGAGCAGCGTTGGCTAATACTCCGTAACACCTCTTTCCTCTCCCTTTCCCACTCCATCTTACTGGAACAAATCATTATGCTCTCTGGAGGGTTCCTGCTTTTCTTACATGTGAATCTATGATCCATTTGACCCTGTCTGCTATGATGTAACATATAGGTTAGCTGAAAGAATGTGGAGATAAATGTAATGCAAAATAACTGTGAAAATTGTAAGCTAAAAAATGTCCTTGTAGACTACATTTCACTGCAGTTCTAACCAGTCAGAGCAAAATGTAATACTACTTTGAATTTTTTTATTGCTATTTTTTAAACAATAAGTTGAAAGTTTCTTTGATCAGGATTTTTTGGAGTTTTGGAATGTCTGATGTTGGGAGTGATAACAAAACTTTGATACTGGTCACAAGTGAGTGACTGTATAACCCTGGTCCCATTACATAGCATTACTACTTTTGGAAACATTTGTTTATAGAAATCCAAACATCCACCCAGCCCCCTCGATCATGCCCCTCTCTGCATTATCCTGTTTCTCCTCTGATGAGATCCTTCAAGGTAACATCTCTACAAAATGCCCAAACCTTGCAGTTCTCCCTTCCATGAACACTCACATCCATCACCCCCAATAACATATGCATGGAACAGCTTGGGATGACCCCAAATCCTCTCAGATTCCTTTGCCCTGTGTAGTGCGTTGTCTTCTCTTAAGATGCTATAATGTGTATTTTTTACTTCCTTAAAAATTTAATTCTACCTTCATGTCTTCTGAAAAAAATTTCTTGGGCCCCTTACTTTGTGTTTGGTGTTCCATGACACTCTGGGCCTCCTCCCTAATGTAACCATGGTGCTGTGATACTCATTTTTGTGTTTCCCTCCCCCATTTGTCTCTAGACTCATTTTGGGGATGAGAAGGATGAAAAGCACACTCATCCCTGTAGCCTCAGTTCCTTGCTCAGAGCCTTTGGTGTGTTAAGCATTCAGAATCATTTGTGGAAAGACTAGATGAAAGAGCAAGTGAATTAATGAACAAATGATACTTTTTCAGAGTGTCAGGCTGTTCATCTTCCTAGACTTTCTTTACTTACTGCTACCATTAAATAGTATTTTAGAATTCAAAACCCTTCAACAGTATCTGAAGAGGAAAGAAACTATGTTTCTTTACATCTGTCTGTCTAAAAATCAAGCAAGAAAGTCCATGCAAAAAAGATGAGAGGAAAGCAGTGACCACGTGATAGCTTAGCCTGCAGAGTGTTAAAAATATGTGTCCTCATAGACACACTTCCGGTGCTGATGTGTCTCTGTGGCCTTCTTCCTGGCTTGATTATGAAATTAGCTCATTTAACAAATAATTCAACCCCTACATCTTATACAAGCTCAGCATTACGATGTTCGGATTTAGAGCACGCTGGGAGCAACACCCAGGAGATGAGGTCTATGGTGGATTCAGAGGGTGCGCACATGCTCAGAAATGAATTAAAATGCAAAACAGCGGGGCAGCATCAATGCAGTGGGGTCAAGATGGCAAAACAGGAACAGAAGCAGAATAAAAAGTCCAGTAATTACTCGCTGTGTAACACTGGATAAATTAGTCCCTCTGAGGCTTATCTGAAAATGGGAATAATGATACCTAATTCACAGCAAGCTGATGAGGATTATTGAACCTGTGTGGCGGAATTGGAAATATGTTTGAAATTATTAGCGCAAGCAATATGACAGTTACCGAATGCCTTCTACCTGTCTGATAACAAGATAATCAAGAACAACTTAACTTCCCAATTCAGCTCAGGAACAGTTCTGTATGTGACCACGCATGTTTGGTCCAGTGTTTCTGACTTTGAGAAGTTGAAAGTCTTGCAAGGCAGGCATTGCCAATAAGATCGTACTTCTTCCTACAAAATGGGCAGGAGATTTGTGGAACACTTTCTCCAACTGGTCACTAACACTTAAGAAAAGGTGTTCTCTCCTTGAAAGCAGACTGACTGACTTGTCTTGATTCTTCGAGATTTCCCTCGGCGTATTTATCTGTGGGTGTGAAGAGGATTCCAACAACAGCTCAGAAGTCCAGTGCTGATCTGTAAGCCTCCAGAGAGTTAAGGCTTGTTCTTCACTACTGAGCCCCAAGGGATAAGAGATCTGGGCTCTGATGGCCCCCATGGGCCATGTATAAAGTGTAGAAAATCTTTCCAACTTATGTGTAAGAAACACAAATGGAGGAGATAGAAATTCTGGCCCTCTCATGGCCCAGTTACCAGGAACCAATCAGAAGACCAAAACCAAACAAATAAATAAATAAATAATAAAAATAGAGTAAAGGAATAAAAAGTATCTCATATAGCACTTGATTCTCCTTTTCAGCCCATATCCACCAGTGAGAATGATGATAGTCAACTCAGATAACCTGCAAGCTGCAGAGTCACCTGTCTGCTCTGCCTCTGTCAATTGGTTGCAGGCTGGCAGTCTAGATGGCAGTTGATTATGTCTCCATTCCATATTTACAGCATCGAATGGGGAGGGAGAGTTGTGCAGAGGGATTTGACATGGGCTTGAGTAGCTAATACAATTTCCAGCTTCACAGAAGCTAAACCATGGATCCCTTTAATGTCAGATGCAACAACTGACCCTGAACATTTGCTAAATGCCAGACACCAGTTCTGGCATTGGGATACAGAGGGGAAGCACCATGGTTTGGTTAAAGGCTGAGACTCTGAAGGCTGTTTGCCTGGAAAGAGCCCTGTCTTGCCCATAGGCATGTTGTAAGGTTTGCGCAACCCACTTCCACTCTATGCCTCAAATCCCTCATCTGTAAAATGAAGATAAGAAAAGTGTCGCCCACAGGTTTGTTGCAAGGATAAATGAATTCATACAAATTAGGGGCTTAGAACAATGTTTCATAACTTCTCAGGAAGTCATAGCTATTATAAAAATCAATGAAGAGAAAGATAGGCACAGTCCTTCTGCTTCCTCTAACCTCCACTGAGCTCCAGATACTGACCTGCCCATGGACCATCCCTCCTCTCCTCCCCTGATGTGCCATTTGGTGCCCCTCTGCCTATCTTTGCCTTCATCGGTGGCCTTGAATTCTGTGTGCTGGTGTAGCTGGCTCCACGTCCTGCATCACCATCCTCCTCAATACCTGGTCCTGCAGGTGTCCTCCCAAACTCAGCTCCTTCCTCTCAATCTACTCAGGTATGGCATTTCCAGGCTCTAATTCTGACAGCCTCTGTCTTCCTTTCTATGACCTCAGATCCATCACTTACCATAATATGACCTCCATTCTTTATCTATAATAGGGGATCTAGAAAAGCAATTTATCTAAGATCATTTTCAACTTCAACTTCTTGTGTTTTATGACTATAATCTGTGAATCATAGAAAAATTCCAGTTTCACCTACTGAATCTAAGACAAACCCAGTAGACACTTCCTGAACATGGAAGTAAAGTTTGATATTATCAAGCTAGAGGGCTCTGGACCCAGGTCATGAAGAAAGAGGCATTTCTCCATGGCAAATCAAGGCTTCACTACCATAGGGTGAGCCCAACTCAGGGTCAAAGGAAAGCCAAGGCCAAAGAAAAGTGGCCTGGCCACGTGGGCTTGACCTGGCTAAGAAAATGCAGGTTAACAATGAGTCAGATGCTGAGACAGCAAGCAACACAAGAGGCGACCTGGAAGCACGTGCTCTAAGAAAAAAAGCAGTGAACACTAGGGAATAAAAAGGAAGAGGAGAGGAAGGGAGGGGAGGGGAGGGAGGGAGGGAAGGAAGGAGGGACAGAGGGAAGGAGGGAGGGAAGGAAGGAGGGACAGAGGGAAGGAGGGAGGGAAGGAAGGAGGGACAGAGGGAAGGAGGGAGGGAAGGAAGGAGGGACAGAGGGAAGGAGGGAGGGAAGGAAGGAAGGAAGGAGAAAAGGAAGGGAGAAGGAAAAGAAAAAAGAAAAAAGAAAAACATATCTGAGTAACTCTTTGAGTTAGAGGTTATTCATAGGCAAAGATTTTATTTTCAAAGAGATGAACAGAGCTAGGAAGTGCTGCTTTCATTCCCAGGATAAGAAAAATCACAATTCAGTCAGAAATCTGAAAGACAAAAGTACTGAAAAACAGAAGACAAAATCTCCTTCTGGATCTCATAGCATCAAGGTCCTGGGGCATGTGTGTGTTGGGATGGGAGCAGGGTGCAGGCACAAACTCTTAAGCTGGAGTCAAATGAGATAGATATATTTTAAAATTTTATATATATATGTATATATATATTTTAAAATTTTATATATATATGTATATATATATTTTAAAAATTTATATATATATATATATATACAAAAAAAAATTCAAGATGAAAATAATTTAGAAAACATTAAATAGTGTTGAGCCTGAATCAGGAGCCCTGATGTTTTGTTGTTTCTTTCTCCTTTTAGCCTCAATATGATCATTTTATAAATCTCCACAGTATTCGATACTTTAATTTTCTTCCCTGTGTACAAGACAATTTGTTTTCAGATTGAAGTAACATCTGTTTCTGTAGATAATTAAGTTATTAGATGCTGATCAATTTAATAAAGCCACAAGGCTTTCCTGACCTCTTTATGCATAATCAATGAATTTAGATGCAAAATGTGAAAACCTTACTTTTTAAAAAGTGAAGAAAATCTTCCATTAACATAGTCATTTTGTAATTACTTGATACTTGCAATCAGATGGCTATGCAAACACAACATTCTGGAAACACAGATTATTCAATCATTTCAGGGTAGCAAGAGAAAGGCCTGGGAAATGGTTGATCTTCCTTTTGTCCTTGAACCAACAATTTCCATCCTTTATTACCTGAAGTATGTTTATTTTATACCTACTACAGTTAAAGTTTCTATTCCACCTGCTATAACAGGTATCACTTCTAGAGTGTTCTAGACATTTTGCATACATCCTTCACTCAATCCTTTCAGTAATCTTACAAGTAATTATTAATAATTATTAATATACCTACACTTTACAGATGGCTGAGAGAGGAGGTAACTCATGGGGTCTTCCAAGGTGGTGTCAGAATTTAAACTTCAACCCCTGGACTCTGGTCTCCATCCTAAAACAAACTCTTTCAAATATTTATTGCACCACTAATTGGACAAGTTTCTTCAGGGATATTACCTCTGTCCTCAGCTTCTTGTATGTTGGTCTGTGATAGTATTTGAAGAAGCAAGCAGCATTGATTCCCATAGATTTTGAGACATTATTCAAGGTCCAGAATTCTCTGTTTCCAGAGTTTCGTCAGTTAGCAGATAGATCAACTTTACTACATTCAGTGGGAATAGATTCTCAAGTTGACAGGGATGCCAGTGAAATAATTAATCAGGAATTAGATTAAACAGTGCGGGTAAGACTTGCACCATGATCATCTTCTCGTCATTTGAGAAATTAGAAAATTTCTATTTTAAAGCCGAAATACAGTTTACAACTTTAAACTTAACTTGGGTGCCAAACAAACATGGGAATGAATATAAATTAGCACAAAAGCCTATTTGTATTTTTGCTGTCAGATTGAAGATGTTTCTGTTTCATTTAAGACATTCTTTTTTTTATTTATGACATTAACAAAGGTAATAACAATAAAAGCCGCAAAACACAGTATAATTGACAAGACAGAAGACATGTGGATGTGAAGTTACTTCACTTAATGTCCTTTGAGCCTCTTTCATCAAATGTGAAAATCAAAGTGCTACCTGTCTGTCACATACAATTATTTTGTAGATCAATGAGAGAGTGTATAATGCAGATACTCTGAAAAGTATAAAGAGCCTGATCAGTATGAAGTATTATTCAGTAATAAATTGTTTTGTTAATTTCCATGTGACTTTAGACCTCCATCTAATGCAACTCATCACTTTCATGTGCTCATCTAAAATCAATTAACAATGATTTCCTTCAGTGAAGTGCAGATGAAGCTGTACTTTTATTAGTAAATACATTTTTTGTCAAAACAGCAATGTAAATGAAACACTAACTCCTAACTTTGCTAGTTGCTCTTCCATGCTCTACCACCATGCCACATCTTTCAGAGGCAGTATGACAGAGTATGGCCACAGTACCATGTTACCTTCTTTTTTATTTTATTCAACTATAGTATTAGAATATATAAGTCTTTGGAATTATTAAGTGGTGCCTACAATTTGACATGTAAATGAATCTTACTCTAGGCATTTAATATAAAGAAGATTTAACATATAATTTTAATACTAAATATTAGATACTGTTTTAAAGATGAATAATCTTGGCAGTGAATTCCTATGACCATGTAGTACTATAGGTAAATCCCCAATTAGCCCTGACATTTTTGTCTTATAAATTTGCAATTTTATTTTTGGTATTTCTGGGTTCCATAATATGAAACACATCTGTATATATAAAGTTTATTTATTGTTTTCTTATAATGACTTTCATTTATTTTTTGCATGTGAGATGACAGAAATTCCTTTTTGTGTTGGGTAGGGTACTGAAAAATTGAAATGAATCGTTAAGAAAAAAACATAAACAAAACTTTTTTGGAGCTCTGTGACTCTTCTTGATAAATAGGAAAGATGGGCGTAATTCCTGGATAACTCTTCACTTAAAACAGTCTGGATTTTAGCAATAAGACTTTGTGCCTGTTGCCCTGGTGCTCCATCTGGTTTAGCACCATTCCACTGACTCTTCAATCTTTCATTATATTTTTAAATTAAGATATAACTTACATACAGGAAGGTCAAAATTCTTAAATGTACAGCTGAATATGCTTGTACATTCACACACATGTGTGTAACTGCTGCCCAAGTAAAGGCATAGAAAACTGTCCCAGCCCCATTAAAAACTCCTTGGGCCTCTTCTAGTTGATGGCCCCTCCACAGGAAATCAATATTCTGCCCTCCAACACAATAGATTAGTTTTGCCTGATTTTGAACTTGATGTAAGTGGAACCATAACCAAGTAATACTGCTAAAGTTACATTAAAATAGGCCGGGATGCATTTGTCAGACCTCCACTTGGTACTTCCAGCTTCTTCCACGGTCTGCTCTGGTCATGTATAAGACACGTGCAGAAAATAATTCTCACTTTATGCATGATTACATTTGAAAGATGATCAGACATATGCATTTTTCTACTCCACATCCCTTCCAGACACAGGTTAACTAATAACCACCTTTCAAGGAGACTATGCAGAGGACACACATCAAAACAAAGTGCCCATAGGCAGAGGCCAATGACCACATCGAATTCCCTCAGCAATCAGGATGTGGTATGCAGAAGTATTCATTGCTGTTGTCCCTGATGGTCACTTGTCCCTGATGGCCCCTGTTGCAGTCAGCAAGATGAACAGAGCCACTAGTCCTGTACTAAGAGTGTCAGTGGGAAGTGAGGGGAACTTGCTGTTCAAGTATACATGAACTGTGGTGAGGTAAAACAGAAGTGCTGAACAAACCTGCTGTAGAGATGTATAGAGATTAATGTGAGCAGTCTTGATCATGTATTATATGCATATAATTACAACTATTCTAGCCAGAAATAGGCTGTGTGTCCCAACAAGGGCTCTGTCACTTAACATGCCTCGGCTCATCTTGACTCAGCTTGGATAGTTTCTGGCTCTACCAATGAACAATCGGTCACTCAGGTCATATTTTTGGTAATTTTTGCTTCTGTTTAATCATGTCTTCTCTATACTCATTGCCCATAATTATTTATTAGTGTGTAAGAACCCTAAAACTCACTGACGTAAAACAACCATTTATTATGTTCTATGATTTTGGGGGGTATCTTGGCTGTGATGCATGGTTTTTTGGCACCATGCAGCATTGACTTTTTTGCATTCGGCTACCCTAGGTTGTGAGGTCTAAGAAGTTTTGTCTCACACATCCGGTATCTCAGTACTTCTCCATACATCCTCTTCTCCTTCACTATCTTGGGCTTTTATGGTGGTTGCTGAGTACTTAGACATTTTACTTGGCAGACTGCAACAAGAGCAGAAGTGGAAGATTCCAGGCTTCCTCTTATTATATTCATCAAAATAAGTGATAAGGCAAACATAGATACATGGGACAATGAGGAATAGATTCTGTTTCTTTGTGTGTCAGACAAGCATTCACATACAAAGAGAGAAGGGTTGATGATGCATCTTTGGAGAATGAAGCACACCTCATTTTATTGCATTTCCTTTATTTCACTTCAAAGATATTGCATTTTATTTTTACAAATGGAGGGTTTGTGGCAACCCTGCATTGAGCAAGTCCATTGGCACCATTTTTCCAAAAGCCTGTGCTCATTTCCTGTCTCTGTGTCACATTTTGGTAGTTATCACAATATTTCAAACATTTTCATTATATCTGTTAGGGTGATCTGTGATCAGTGATCTTTAATGTTACTATTGTAATTGTTTTTGGGGACCGCAAACCACATCCATATGACATGGCAAACCTAATCAATAACAGTTGTGTGTGTTCTGAGTGCTCCACCAACAGGCTCTTCTCTATCTCTTTCCCTCTCCTTCGGCCTCCCTATTCCCTGAGACACAACAGTGTTGCAATTAGGCCAACAACACAATGGCATCTAAGTGTTCAAATGAAAGGAAGAGTCACATGTCTCTCACTTTAAATAAAAAGCTAGAAATGATTAAGCTTAGTCAGGAAGGCCTGTCAAAATCTGAGATAGGCTGAAATCTAAGTCTCTTGTGCCAAACAGTTTGCTAAGTTGTGAATGCAAAGGAAAAGTTATTGAAGAAGAGTAAAAGTGCTACTCTAGTGAACGTAAAAATAAGAAAGCAAAACAACCTTACTGGTGATAAGGAGAAAGTTTTAATAGTCTGGAGAGATCAAACCAGCTACAGTCCCTTAAGCCAAAACCTAACATAGAACAAGGCCTTAACTCTTTTCTATTCTATGAAGGTTGAGAGAGGTGAGGAAGCTGCAGAAGAAAAGTTTGAACCTAGCACGGGTTGGTTCATGAGATTTAAGGGAAAAAGCTGTTTCCATAACACAAAAGTGCAGCTGAAGCAGCAAGTGCTGGTGTAGAAGCTATAGCGAGTTATATAAGATCATTGATGAAAATGGCTACAGTAACAACAGATTTTCAATGTAGACAAAAGAGGCTTATGTTAGAAGAAGATGCCATCTTGTACTTTTATAGCAAGAGAGGAAAAGTCAATGTCTGGCTTCACACCTTCAAAGGACCGGCTGACTCTGTTATTAGAGGCTGAGGCAGCTAGTGACTTTAAGTTAAAGCCAATGGTCATTTATCATCCTGAAAATCCTACATCCCTTAAGAATTATGTTAAAGCTCCTCCATCTGTGCTCTAGAAATGAAACAACAGAGCCAGAGTCACAGCACATCTGTTCATAGGACTATTTGCTGTAATATTGTAAGCTCATTGTTAAGACCTGCTACTCAGAAAAAGTGATTCCTTTCAAAGATCACTGCTCATTGACAATGTTTCTGGTCACTCAAGAGCTCTGATGAAGATGTACAAAGAGATTAGTCTTGTTTTAATGCCTGCCAACACAACATCCATTTTGCAGACTATGGATCAAGGAGTAACTTTGACCTTCAAGTCTTATTATTTAAAAAATAAATCTTCTAATGCCCTAGCTACCATAGATAGTGATTTCTCTGTCTGAGCAAAGTAAATTGAAAACCTTCTGGAAAAAATACAACATTCTTGATGTCATTAAGAATATTTGTGATCCATGGGAAGAAGTCAAAATATCAAACTTAACAGGAGTCTGGAGGAAGTTGATTCCAAACCTCTTGAATGACTTTGGGTGATTCAAGACTTCAATGACAGAAATAACTCCAGATGTGGTAGGAATAGCAAGAGAACTAGAATTAGAAGTGGAGCCTGAACATGTGACTGGATTGTTGCAATCTTGTGATAAAATATTAATGGATGAAGAGTTACTTCTTGAAGATAAGCAAATAAAGTGACTTATTGAGATGGAATGTACACGTAGTGAAGACGCCATGAACATGGTTGAAATGACAAAAAAGCATTTAGAATATCCCATAAACTTAGTTTATAAGGCAGTGGCAGGGTTTTAAAAGATTGAGTTTAATTTCAAAAGAGGTTCTACTGTGGATAAAATGCTAGCAAAGTGCATTACATGCTACAGAGAAATCTTTGATGATAGGAAGAGTCAATTGATGCAACAAACTTTATTGTATTATTTTAAGAAATTGACAAAGCCACCCCAACCTTCAGCAACCCCACCTTCATTAGTTAGCAGCCATCAACATCTAGACAAGACCCTCCATTAGCAAAAAGATTAAGACTTCTTAAAGACTCTGATGACCATTAGCATTTTTTACCAATAAAGTATTTTTAGTTCAGGTATGCACATTGTTTTTATAGATATAATGCTATTGCACACTTAGTCTACAGTATAATGTAAACATAACTTTTAGATGCACTGAAACAACAAAATTGTGTAACTTGCTTTTTTGCAATATTTGTGTATTGTAGTGGTCTGGAACCAAACCCACAATATCCCCAAGGTATGCCTATAATTTAATTTATTCCTGAGTTTTCTGTGATGGGTTGCTTTTATCCCATCTCATAAAGAGAGAGACTTCAGTTTAGCAAAAGACACTTTTAAAGAGAGAACATTAAAAACTGTGTAACTGTATAATCAATGCCTCATTTTGGTTCATTAGTCAAGAGACAACATGCACAGAGTAGGCTATTCAAGCCGTGTGCCTTGATCATTGCATTTTTCTGAGGGAAATGACCACTTCCACAAACGGCTGCTCTAATGAAGCAATCCATGCCTGCCCTGTTCTTACCTCTGGGGCTACAGATGGTTGGTTGATAAGCAGTATCAAATTCAGGAATAATTAATTCATATAAACTGATCAATGGCATATAAGGGGCTTTTATTTTTTTTGAAAGTTGATCCCACATAGGGGAGAAAGGAATTAACTTAATTATTACTCTGAAGAATTTGAACCAAAGATGTTAGACTCTTTAGCTGATTAGGGAAAAAGGAAAAGCTAAAGAACACACATAGAGAAGTTGGAAACTGTGGACCATGAGTAAGCTGTAGTCAGGCAGAGCCATGAATATGTGTGTTGGAATTCTGAATAATCAATCACAACTTTACAGGAGAATGTGGGAATAGTGAGTGGTAGAAATAGGAGGGGACATGTGAGTGATGATGTAATTTTATTAGATTGGTGATAATTAAAAAGGGTTTAGCTTTCTGCGAATTTATTAAATAAAATAAAATTATGTTAATTTATTTTTGAAATAAAATATCTATTTTGTGTACTTTCCTGTATATTTGATATATCAATTTAGAAAAATTAAAAACATGATGTGCTGTTTTTACATACAGGAACATGAATGAGGACTCTAGACAGAGAGAGAAACATAAGCCAAGGAAGAGATGATAAGTAGCAAAGCCCTCACAGGAAATTTCAAAGACTTCATCATGAACAGACATGAGAGGATACAATACAGTAGAATTTCACTTTTTTTTAAGAATAGGAATCTTTAGCTGTATGAAGCTCAATTGAGAACACAAGTAATGAACATCATTATTCTCCAGATTTTTAATATCACATACCTATCAGTAAATATTCTGTGCATGTGCCCTCTGTATATTGATTTTGTAATTCATAAATCTTATACATACTATTGCTAATACACAATATAATTTTGTGCATGTTTTATGTGCATCATAAAACATATATAAAAATAGAACGTCATAAAGAAACACATGAGTAGAAATTTTACCATTTTCTTTTAGCGCCTCAGATCACCTTTAGCATGCCTCTTTGGAGAGTGGACTATGAAGTCAGCCTGAACAGAGTTTCTCCATGGTTCTATATATTAATTTAAGGGCAGAATCCTTGTTATAAGAACTAACCTTTGAAAGCACTCAGAGGAAGACAGCGTGAGTCTTTGACAAGCATCCATCCATCCATTTTAATTAGAAACACCTCTTCCTTGGATTTACTTTTTGGTAGAAAGTTCATGGAGGAAATAAATCTTGATTTGAGTCTTGAGAGGCTCGTTAAATTGTTAAAGGAACAATATCAAACCAGCGATGGTTTGGATGTTTGTCCTCTCCAAATCTCATGTTAAAATCGGATCCCTACTGTTAAAGGTGGGGCCTAGTGAGAAGTGTTTGTGGGGAGATACTTAATGAATAGATTAATGCCTTTTCTCCAGGGCGAGTTAGCTCTCACTCTTAGTTCCCTCAAGAGCTGGTTGTTAAATATAGCCAAGCATCCCCACTCCCACTTCTCCTGCTTCCTCTCTCCCCATGTGATCTCTACACACACCTGCTCCCTTCACCCTCCACCATGAATAGATGCAGCCTGAGACCCTCACCAGATGCAGATGCCCAATCTTAAATTTTCTATCCATCAGAATTGTGAACCAAATTTTTTTTTAAATAAACCACTAGCTTCAGGTATTCTTTTACAGCAACACAAAATAATTCAGGTATAATACTAATTTAGTATATGAGTGGTGATGTAATTAGATTTCTTAACCTTGGTGATAATTAAAAAGGGTTTAGCTGGACACAGTGGCAAATACCTGCAGTCCCAGGGATTCTGGAGGCTGAAGCGGGAGGATCACCTGAGTCCCAGGAGTTAAAAGCCAGCCTGGACAACACAGTGAGACCTGGTCTCAAAAATAATTCATTTTAATTTAAAAATAAATAAACTAATCAAAAATTCAAAAATGTTTAGCTTCCTGTTGATTCATTGAGTGGAACATCGATGTTTTGTGCACTTGTCTATATATTTGATACATCAAAAGTGGAAATTTGAAAATGGAGAAGTTTGGAACATCTCAAGTCACAGATTCCATGGGGAAATAATGTTGAGGACATTTGTTAAAAACTATCATATATGCTTTCCTGGAAAGACTAGCAGGACAGCAAAACTATCTGGATAGTTGAAGAGTTAGTAATATGGCAAATAAGTGGGCTTCAACGTTAGGATTTTCATTTACATAAAACAAACAGGAGATGCACCTCATGCTACTACCACATAAATGAGTTTCATAGAGAATGTTTTAGAAGCTAGAGGAATCCTTTGAATTAGTTGCCATCTCTATATCAGCAGTGGCTGAATTATGCATGAAGGTAATAGTAACTGAAATGAAGACTCCACAGCTTGCTCAAAGAAAATAAAAAACATACAGTTTCAGAAAGATACAAACATATCTGCTCTTACTTAAATAATGCTGATAACATGCACATTTTACTTCAGTGATTAAACAGTATCTTAAGTCAGCACTTAAAAAAAAAAACACTACTTCTGGTTTCAGTTCTGACACATAAAATGCTTAAAAATCATCATACTCAATCCCAGCACTTTGGGAGGCCGAGGCAGGAGGATCACGAGGTCAGGAGTTCAAGACCAGCCTGACCAACACGGTGAAACTCCGTCTCTACTAAAAATACAAAACTTAGCCAGGCCTGGTGGCACACCCCTGCAATCCCAGCTACTCAGGAGAATCGCTTGAACCCAGGAGACAGAGGTCGCAGTGAGCCGAGATCGTGCCACTGTACTCCAGCCTGGGCGACAGAGCGAGACTCCGTCTCAAAAAAAAAAAAAAAAAAAAAAATCACTCATTCTTACAACAAGAAAAAGCAGAATAAACTGAATGTCAATAACTTCTTGGACTGACTGAAGTTTTAATACAAAGTGTTGCCCTGAAATCGTGAGAAACAGGTGACTCTAGAGAGCCACAGCTGAGTTCTTTTTACCTGGAGCAGAAGCTGCTGAATCCATTACCTGGGAAGAACACTTAAATGTTAACTTTTACAAATTTCTGGAGGTAAAGTGTTAAAAGAGAAAACAGCTGTTTTTCTCTATTTGCACAAAACACATCTGACAGGAAATTGGTGAGAATTTCCCTCACATTAAGCAATTCTCCAACTTTCAGGGAACCAAAGGGCGTCTTATAATTCAATTATGACACTAAATACCAAGAGTTAGCACAGACTCCACAGCTTAAGGGTTCAATCCCACAATATTGCCCCTGCTTCAGATGTCAGGTGCAAGTCCCAGGTTGTGACCTGTGTTTCTGACCAACCAGCTATAAACTGGGAGTTACCCTTCCCAGTTTTGGTAATTTACTAGAATAGCTCAAACATCTGAGGATGGCACTTTACTCACTATTCCCAATTTATTATAAGAGAAACCACGACTCGGGAGTAGGCAAACTGAAGAGATGCATGGGACACCGTAGGTGGGAGGGGCATGGAGCTTCCGTGCTGTCTCTAAGCATTACCCCTCCTAGCATCTGAATGAGTGTATTTGCCAACACAGAAGCCCTCTGAACCACATTACATAAAGTTTTAATGAAGATCTCATTATGTAAACATGGTCAATTAGATCATTGGTCATTGATGATTGGACCTAATCTCCTGCCCCTCTCCCTTCCATGGAATTCTAGAGGTGGGCCTAATCACGTAACTGATTCCTCCGGCCACCATCCACCATCCACCAAGAGTCAGCAATTTGTATAAATTCAGGTATTGTTGAAAAGGAATTATAATAAATAATGAAAGACATTCCTCTCACTCTATCACTTAGGAAATTCCAAGGGTTTTAGGACTCGGGGTGAAGTCCCCGAGTGCTAGACACTCGGGGTGAAGATCAAATATGTTCTTCTTCTTATATGAAAATTATCACAACTGTAAACTAATGTGAGAGACAGAAACTACTGGGGGTCTCTGCCCTAGAATATCCCCTGACTTTTGGGGTTTTTACCTCTAGAAATCCTACCAGGTTCTTACAATGAGGACCAGAGAAATATTTCCTTGTCGCTTTTTCAGGGGAAGGGAAAGAGAAACCATTGTGAAATGCTCAGAGTGGTATACATAACCAAAGACTGCATGCCAGAGGAAAATACTTTTACCAGAGCTTTATCCCATCTGGGGAAAGGTCATTTCTCCCACTCCACCCTTCTTCAGCCTTCTTGCCTCATCCATGATGGAGATAAGGTACCACTGGTGGGAGGAAACAAACTTGCAAAGTTCACAACTGAGAGACACAGGCTTACTAAAAGATGGAGATTTACTTTTTAATATTGTAGAACCCTTCTGCTTTGATTATTTCATTTCACCCTCTTGGTAAAAGAAGGCTTACACCTTAGAGTTAGGAGAATGTTAGAACATGCAACATCCAACATGGGACAGGTGAAATCAAAAGCAATTTACTAGTCACATATACCCACAGCCTAGAGGAGGAGGACATTGTAAGACATGCAAAGTCACGTGGCGTTTGTACTCAGTAATATATTGAATAAGCGGGGTCTATGGGTACCAGGCTTTGTACTATCAAGGGGGTTAAGGTGCCCTCTGGTTCCCACGGAAGATGTGATTGGCTTCTTCAAATTATTCTGCAGGCTGGCAGGGAACTGAAGCCCATGCAGCAATAGGCAAGCATTGTTACAAGAAAAACTTGAGACCATTACATCCTCCTCCAAATTGGGAAGAAACTGAGGGACCAAAGAATGACCCAGGCAACTCCAGCATGAAGAGTAGATGAACTTATTAGGACTTATATACAGGGCATTCCTGGACAGCAGTAGGACAGTCAAGAGGTCCACACCATCTCCTGACTCGAAACTGCTTTTAAGCTAATTTTCTAGTTCTTTGCCTACTGTGTTTGAGTGATGAAGCTGTTTTCTTTGGTAGGTTCTCAGAAACTCTCTGGGATGTTTGGGTTCTCAAGGACACCAGCTCTTTGGCTGAGCAACATAGCCTTGGCTCATTACCCAGCCTTCAGACTTCAGGCAGCCAAAGTACACCCTTAAGTAACCTGGTGGGGGACTCTTCATACTGTAAATGTCATGCTGTGTCACTGTGGCAAGGAGGGTTATTTGACTAGTGGACTTTATCCACAGGAGCACAATGGGTAAGGGGACTGTGATTAAAACATTCACAACATATCCAGTTTCAGGTGCCAGGTAGTACATGGTATTAATTTTAGGCCATGTACCACAACTTCCCTCCCCACATCTTACTACCACACCAACAGAGACTCAGTATAACAGTAGTGAATCACAAGTGAAACAGCTGCAAGAGACACACTCTCTCTGATGAGGGTGAGTGCTCAGGGAAGCTCACAGTCAAAATTGGAGAAAAAAAGACTCTAGAGAAACTTGAAGCCTTTGACACTCATAACTACAACAAACGTCAAACCCAGCACAACTCCTAGTCTGATTAAAATAAATTCTCACATTTTTCCCCAGTTTCTATTACCTGATGAACCATACCTGGTCTTCAACACAAAAAATTAGTTAGAATGTCAAAATATAAGAAAAAAATTGTGATGAAATGAAGCAAGCAGCAGAGCCAGGCTCAGATATGCCACAGACAATGAAATTATCAGAAAATCAATGTAAAACAACTGAAGTTAATATGGTAAGGGCTCCAACGGAAAAAAGCAGCAACAATCAACAACAGATGAATAATGTAAGGAGAGATACGGAAATTTTAAGAAAGGCAATACTAGAAATCAAAAGCACTGTAAAAAGTGAAGTATAGCTTTGAAGAATGAGCTCATCAGTAGACTGGACACAGCTGAGGACAAACAAATGAAAAAGTCAATGAACTTGAAGATAAGTCAGTAGAATCTTCCCAACCTGAAATACAAACAGAAAAATATAATTTTAAAAAAATATAATACATCCAAAAATGGGGCACTAATTTCAAAAGGCTTAACATAAATGTTATGAGAATATCAGAAGGAAAAGAAGAAATAATCCAAGTAGAGAAAATATTTGTGGTAATCCAGGCTGATAATTGTCCAAAATTAATGACAGACACTAAATCATAGATCTAGGAAACTCAATGAACAAGAAGCAGGAGAAATAACACAAAAAAAGCTACACCTAGAGATGCCATATTCAAAATACAGAGACAACACAAAACCTTGAGAGAAGAGAGAGGGGGGGAAATTAAACACCTTACCTAGAGAGGAAAACGGACAAGTACTGATGTGAACTCATCAGAATTCATGAAGGTAGGAATAGAATAGAGTAAACTATTTTAAAGTTTGGCAGGAATACAACCACCATGCTAGGATTTATGAATTTCTGGAGGCTCAGTGAGGGCAACAGAGAGTTAAAATCTCCAGAGGTCCCCAGTCATAGGAAGGCCCCTATATTTTTGTGAGTTTTACCTCCAGGAGCTCTACCAGGTCTGCACAGGAAATATAAGAGAAAAATCTTCTCATCCCTCTGGAAGAGATGAGGGGAAAAGGAATGATTTTGAAATACACCAGAGCATTCTGTTTTCTTACAGTATCCCCTCGGAAAAGAACTATTTCACCAGAGCCTAAACTTCTGGACTTTACCAAGGCCTAACTGACCTGGGGAAAGAAGACCAACTCCAGCCCCCTCTAAGCCTTGTATATGGAAAAAGGGAAATACCCACTCCAGCCCACTCCAACCACCCTATCCCACCTAATGAGGGAGGGATGGTGACTAAGGAGCACATACGAAGTTCACATTTTAGAGGCACAGGCTACTAAAAGACTGAGATCACAGGATTATAGAACGTTTCCCTGCCCCCCACACCTTACCCTCATTACTAAAGCTTATTTACAGCACTTCCTCTCACCCAGCACATCATGTCTGGATATCAAGAGAAAACTATGAGACACACTAAAAGGCAAGAAACACACAGTTTGAAGAGACAAAGCATGGCATCAAAGCCAGACCCAGATATGACAGCGGCATTGGAATTAACAGCCCTGAATTGTAAAACACTGTGATTACTATGCTAAAGGGTCTAATGAATAAAGTAGACAATATGCAAGAGCATATGGGCAATGTAAACAGAGAGATGGAAAGACACAAGACACACATAGAACAAAATGTGAGATGGCAAAAGTAAATCCAACTATATCAATACTAACATTGAAAGTAAATAGATTAAGCAACCTAACTGAAAGGCAGTAATCGTTAGGCCAAATAAAAATCAAGATACAACTATATATTGTGTACGAGAAACATACTTTGGTCTCAAAGATAAATAGACAAAAAGTAAGAGGATAAAAGAAAATGCCACATAAATAGCCACCACAAGAAAGCAGAAATGGTTATAATAATAACAGTAAGAAATAAATGTTAAAGTAAAAAGGAAATATCAATAGAAATAAGAGGGACATTTTATAATGATAAAAGGCTAAATGTGTTAGAAAAACACATTAATTATGAGTATATACACACCTAAGAACAGAGCACCAAAATGTATGTAACACAACCGACAGAATAAAAAACAGTTTAACAATGAAAGTTGGAGTCAATAATCTGGTTTTAATAATGACAATCATATTTTCTTAGATATGAAAAAACAGGTAGGCAGAAAATCAACATGTAATAAAAGATTTTAACAATATAAGCCAAGTAGGCTTCACAAACATCAATAAACCCTCCATCTAACAACTGCAGAATATACAATCTTCTCAAGTGCACATGGAACATTCTCTAGGAAATGCCATATGCACATAGCACAAATATCAATAATTTAAAATGGAAACAATATAAAGTATGTTCTCCGACAATAATGGAACAAAATGAAAAATCAGTAACAGAAAGACATCTGGGATACTCACAAATATGTGGAATTGAACAGTACACTGCTAAGTAACACATGGATCAAAGAAGACATCCAAAAGAAAATTAAAAATACTTTGAAATGACTTAAAATAAAGACACACTTCAGAATATTTATGAAATGCAGCTGAAGCAGTGTTTTGAGAAAAACTTATAGCTGTAAATGCTGACAGTAAAAAAAATAAAAGAAAATTCAAATCAATAACAACCTACTTTAAGGCACTGCAAAAAAAAAAAAATGAAAAAAAAAACTGAACCCAAAGCAAGTGGAAATAAAGAAATAATAAAGGTTAGGCAACAGAATTATGAAACAGAATAGAAAAGCAGTAGAGAAAGTTAATGCAAGCAAACATGTTTCGTTGAAAATCTCAACAAAATGGACAGAATATCAAAAAATACTTCAGCTAGACTGACCATAAAAAAGGCTCAAATAAATTGGAAATGAGAGATCATTAATATAACCTTACAGAAATAAAAAGAATTTCAAGAAATGCTTGAAAAATTGTATGTTAATAATTAATTCAATAAAATGGACAATTTCCTAGAAAAACACAAATATAGAATAATAATAATAATGATCCAGACAGAAAAGCCCAGGGCCAGACAGCCTCCCTGGTGAATTCTACAAAACATTTTTTAAAAAAATTAATGGACATAGTTTTTTCAAAAAAATCATTTAAAAATAGAAGGGGTGTGACCGCTACTCAGTTTATTCTATGAAGCTAATAGTACCTTGATACCAAAACCAAAGCAATGTATCACAACATAAAAGACTGCAAATGAATATTCCTTTTGTATATAGACATAAAAATCTTAAACAAAATACTAGCAAATACAATTTAGCAAATTAGAAAAGCCTTGTGGAATTTATCTCAGAAATGCAAAGTGGCTTTAATAACCAGACATCAATTAATTTTATACACCATATCAATGAAATAAAAGTTGAAAGTCACATAATCATCCCAGTAAACACAGAAAAAGCATTCACAAAATCCAACATCCTTTTATAATAAAATCCCTCAACAAATTAGAAATAGATGTGAACTTCCACAACTGGATAAAAAAAAATTTCCCCACCACGCCAAAAAAAAACCATAGCTCACATAATACTTAATGCTAAATGACTGGATGCTTTCCCCCTAAAATGAGAAAGAAATTGTACAATTTCATTGTTTCTATTCAATACTGTAGTAGAGATTCTAGCCAGGGTAATTAGATAAGAAAACAATGGGCACTCAAATTAGAAAGAAAGAAAATTATTTCTACTTGCAGATGATATTATATTGTATATAAAAATCTTAAAGAGTCCACTAAAAAGTGATTATAAACAATTAAAAAGGTTGTAAGATGTAAGATTAATAAATAAAAATCAATTGTATTTCTGTGCATTAGTGATGAGGAATATGAAAATAAATTAACAGAATAATTTCATTGACAACAGCATATAAAAATACTTAGAACTTAATTTAAAACAAGTGCAAAACTTATTTTTACTACTTATATTTCAGGAAGTAATGATACCAATTTACTACAATGTATTACAGAATATGAACTCTATGATCTATCATTATCATCATATAAAAACTGGATAAAGACAAATAAAACTACAGAGATATAGCTCTCATAAACATTCATGTAAAAATCCACAACAAAATAGTAGCAAGTTTAATCTAACAAAGAATAAATAAATGGTATTATACACCATAAGCAAGCAGGATTTATTCTGGGTATGCAAGGCTGGTTAAACTTTTAAAAATCAATTAATATAATCCTTCACATCAATAAGCTAGAGAGGAAATATCACATAACTGCATCCATACATGCAAGAGAAAAAGCATTTCAAAAAGTCTAACACCCATTCATAATAAAAATCTCTCAGCAAAGTAAAAATAGAGGGGCACTTTTTCAACTTGATGAAGGACGTCTGCAAAGAGCCTACAGATAACATGATACTTAATGAAATAAAAGGCATTTCCTATAATACTGGAATAAAGCAAGACTCTCTTTGCTCACTACTCCTATTCAAAGTTGCACTAGAATCTTTGATAGGGCAAGAATACAAGAAAATAAAATAAAAATTACGCAGATTGAACAGGAAGAAATACAACCATCTTTATTCTTAGATTACATAATTGTATATATAAAAAGTCGACAACAAAAAATATTTGGAACTAATAACATGTATAGCAAGGTCACAAGATCCAAGATTAATATACATATTCAATTTTTTTATATTTCACTACCGAAAAATTAAAATTTGACATTTTAAAAATATTACTGGCCAGGTGTGGTGGCTCATGCCTGTAATCCCAACACTTCGGGAGGCTGAAGTGGGTGGATCACGAGATCAAAAGTTTGAGACCAGCCTGACCAATATGGTGAAACCCTGTCTCTACTAAAATTACAAAAATTAGCCAGGCATGGTGGCGTGCGCCTGTAGTCCCAGCTACTCGGGAGGCTGAGGCAGAAGAATCGCTTGAACTCGAGAGGCAGAGGTTGCAGTGAGCTGAGATTGTGCCACTGCACTCCAGCCTGGGTGACAGAGTGAGACTCCATCTCAAAAAATAATAATAATAAAATAAAATACTCACAATAACATTATAATAATAAAATAGATATGAATATAACAATATATTAATAGGATCTATTAGTAGCAAATTACAAAACTCTGATGACAGAAATCAAAGATCTGAAGAAATGGAGATACCTTTTTTAAAATTTTTTTATTATACTTTAAGTTCTGGGATACATGTGCAGAACATACAGGTTTGTTACACAGGTATACATGTGCCATGGTGGTTTGCTGCACCCATCGACTCATCATCTACATTAGGTATTTCTCCTAATGCTATCCCTCTCCTAGCCCCCCACCCCCGACAGGCCCCAGTGTGTGATGTTCCCCTCCCTGTGTCCATGTGTTCTCATTGTTCAACTTCCACTTATGAGTGAGAACATGTGGTGTTTGGTTATCTGTTCTTGTGTTAGTTTGCTGAGAATGATGGTTTCCAGCTTCATCCATGTCCCTGCAAAGGACATGAACTTATCCTTTTATATGGCTGCATAGTATTCCATGGTGTATATGTGCCACATTTTCTTTATTCAGTCTATTATTGATGGGCATTTGGGTTGGTTCCAAGTCTTTGCTATTGTGAACAGTGCACAATAAACATACATGTGCCTGTGTCTTTATAGTAGAATGATTTACAATCCAATGGGTATATATCCAGTAATGGGATTGCTGGGTCAAATGGTATTTCTGGTTCTAGATCATTGAGGAATCACTTTGTCACCCAAGTTGGAGTGCAATGGTACCATCTTGGCTCACTGCAATCTCCGCCTCCCGGGTTCAAGCAATTCTCCTGCCTCAGCCACCCAAGTAGCTGGGATTACAGGCGTCCACCACACCTGTCTAATTTTTTTGTATTTTTAATAGAGACAGGGTTTCACCATGTTGTCCAGGCTTGAACTCCTGACCTTAGGTTATCCACCCACCTTGGCCTCCCAAAGTGCTGGGATTACAGGCTTGAGCCACGGCGCCCAGCTGAAATAAAGATATTTTTTATGTTCATGGATCAGAATATTCAATATTGTTTCAATTTTAACCTTCTCAAATTGATGTATAGAGTCAATGAAATCTCAATAAAAATTCCAGCTAGCCATGTTGTAGATATTGATGAAATCACTCTTGAATTGTAATAAAACTCAAAGAACCTACAGTAGCCAATACATCGCTGAAGAAGGAGAACCAGGTTATAGGACTCATACTATGCAAATTTAAGACTTCCTATAAAGCCACAGTATTCAGCCAGCATGGAATTGGTGAAAGTATTAGACACATAGATCAATGTAAAGAGACTGAGAACCCAGAAGTAGATCCACACAAATATAGTCAATTGATCTTTGACAAATGACCAAAAGCAATTCAATAGATAGCCTTTTCACAAATAATACTAGAACAGTTGGACATCCAATTAAAAAAAAAGAAAAGAAAAGAAAAAGAAAACAAATGAACCTAGACACAGACCTTAAAAGTTACAACTTTCGCAAAAATTAACTAAGAATGAATAATAGGATTAAATTTAAAATGTAAAACTAAAAATATGTAGAAAAAAACATAGGAGAAAATATATGTAGCCCTGGATTTGGTAATGAGATTTTCATGCAACAACAAAATTACAATTTATGAAAGAAAAAAACAATTAATTACACACTTAAAACTAAAAACTTCTTCTCAAAAGAGTCACTGTTAAGAGAAGAAAAGGACAAGCCACAGACTAGGAGAAAATATTTGCAAAATACATGCCTAATTAAAAACTCATTCCAAAATATACAAATAACTCTTAGAAGTCAAGTAGAAGAAAGCAAACAACTCACTTTTAAAATGGCCAAATATTTCAAAACACATCTCAACAAAGAAGATAGGCAGATGCAAATAGTGTCAGAAAACATGTTCAATACTACTTGTTGTATTAAAAATGAAAATTAAAATAACCATAAAGTACCACTCCATACCTATTTGGCTAAAACCTAAAAGCCGACAGGATTAAACACTGGTGACGAATCAAAGCAACTAGAATGTTAATTTATTGCTCATGGGAATGCAAAATGGCACAGCCTTTGTGGAGTGGAGTTTGTTAGTTTACAAAGCTAAACATTGCCTTACCATTTAGTCCAGCAATCAGGTTCCTAGGTATTTACCTATCTAATGAGTAAAGTTATGTCCACACAAAAACCTTAACATGAATATTTATAGCACCAGTATTTATAATCACCAAAACCTGGAACCAACTTCAGTAGGTGTAAGGATAAACAACCTGTGGCACATCCCACATCCGTAGAATGGAATATTTTTGGCCAGAACATTAAGTGAACAATCAACTCACAAAAATATGTGGATGTGTCTTAAATTTATATTAAATGTATATTGCTGAGCAAAAGAGGGCAATCAGTAAAAGTATTTATAAGATTCTTATGATTCCAATTATATGATATTCTGGGAAAGGTAAATTATACAGATACAAAGAGGGTAAAATGGTCAGTGGATACTGGGGATTGGGTTTAGGGAGGGAGAGTTGAATAGGTGCAGCACGGGAATTTTAGGACGATGAACCTATTCTGTATGCTACTATAAAGGTGGAAAAATGGCATATTGCATTTGTCAAAACCAATAGAAGGTTATAGCAGAAACAGTACACTTGAATTTTTAAAAATTCATTCAGTAGGTCAGAGGATTCCAGAAAGGAATGTAGAATATGACAAAAGAATCTAACAAAATATTACTAATGTATAAAGCAAACTCACTAAAGGAAGTGAGAGGGAAAGGCGCTAATATAAGTAATTTCTGAAATGAGTGGAGTCTAGAAGTCGAAAAGTAAAAGAAATTGTACAAAAAATACTATACTCTAGTTGGAAAAGTTGTTTATTATGGAGATAAGGGATAATAGTTTTCATACCAATATATACATGTATGCTGAAATCAAACAATTAAATGACTGAATGGTGGATGGCAGAAGCTGGGTTTCTCACTGTTGAAGTGGGAGGTTACAAATAAGCAAGGTAATAAAGCTAGAACGATATATGTGTGATGGATTATAGTTGGAGACATCAGTATAACTTTATTTTTAGCTTAATATATCCACAATATATGCATCGATATGGATCTTTACATATGTGTATATGCAACCCATTGTGTATATATGGATCTATATAATCTGTATGTGAATGTCTATAAATATACAACCCACACATGTGTTAGTATACGTGCACATATTTCTTTGCTCTGTTGGCTGAAAGGACCTAGAAATAAAAAGATATGCAATATTAAGGAGTATAAGTAGTGTCGAGATCTTGGTTTCTAATCCCACTACCAGTAAAGGGAACCAGTTTTCTAAGGAAAATGGCTGATACTAGGACTGGGGCAGTGTCTTGGTCTGTTTTATGGTGATATCTGTCTTACTCAGATGTGTGATAGAACATCTGAGACTGGGTAATTAACAAAAAGAAATTTATTCTCAGGGTTTTAGAGGCTGGAATGTTCAAGATCAAGCCACCAGCATCTCGTATAGGCCTTCTACCTGTGTCCTCACCTGGGAGAAGAATGGAAGAGACAGAAAGAGGAAGCACCCATTCCCACCCTTTTTAATAGCATAATTAATCCATTCACGAGGGAGAAGCCTCATAACCTAAGCACCTCTCATTAGGCCCCACCTTCCAATACTGTTGAAATTAGGCATTAAGTTTCCAATGCAAGAATTTTGGAGAGAACAAAAATATTTAAACTATAGCAGGCAGGAAATATGCAAGATGAGCCTTCAGCATCTTAACGTGCCAGAAAGTAAAGAAACAGCAAACACAGAAAACATGTCAAAGGGACAGAAAAGCTAACTGAAAGAGTACTCAGCCAATCTGAAATAATTTGAGCAACAAAATATTGTTGAATTATAACCTGAAGTATAAAATAAATATCTATGAGTTCATGCTGACATAAATAAATGTGGGATAAAAAATAAACAGGAAAGAAGAGAAAATTTTCAAGTGAAGAAAAATTTCAGATAACTTCTGTAATACTTTATCTTCAAGGAGGAGGAGCTTAACTCCCCACTCCTTAACTGTGGACTAAACACAATGACTTCTTTCTAAAAGTACAATTTTGAAAATGAAGAAAAGGGTAACTTTACATTGAAGAAACATAGCTGACACTACCTCGACCAAGTAATCAAGGTCAAAATCAACACTGATAAGTCATATAGATAGCATGAACTCTTGATATGATGTCATGAAAATAGCACTTTACCTTTCTGGTCTCCATCCTAAAATGCTGTAAGCCCAATCTAATCAGACAAATCTTAGTTGGGCAAGATTCTATAAACTATCTAATCTTATTATAATTCCTCAAAACTGTCAAGGTCATCAAATACAAGGAAAGTCTGAGAAACTGTCACAGCCTATGGAGCCTAAAAAGCCAAAGCCAAAACTACTAAATGCGATGTGGTGGTATCTTTTAGAGGATCCTAGAACAGAAACGAGACATTAGGTAAAATATAAGGAATTCTGAATACAGCATGGACTCCAGCTAATAATAATTGGCTACATTCCTTATAAATGTGCCAATATAGGTTCGTTAGCTATAATAAATACACCATATTAATGTAAGATGTTAATAAAAGGGGAAACCAGTTGCAAGGTGTATGAAAACTATCTGTACTACCTTGGCAATTTTTGTACTATCTTCATAAGAAATATTTTAAAATAAAATATTTATTAGAAAGAGAGAGAAGAGAGGAAGGGAGAAAGGGAAAAAGGAAAGAAAGCAGTGGAAGGAAGGGAAGACGGAAAGAAAAAAGAAAAAAGATGGAAGAAAGGAAAGAAGAAAGGGAGGGATGGAAGGAGGGAGGGGGAAGAGCAATCTTACCATGGCAAAGACTTACATCTTAGACTGTGAAAATGTAGTCTAAAGGGATTTTAATGTTTTTAGCAGACACAAATTGGAGGAATAAGGTTTATTCCACAAACCACTCACTAGAAGCTTACTAGTGAGTGGTTTGTGGAATAAACCTTATTCCTCCAATTATTTATGGAATGTTCCCTTTTCCAGTCTCTCGGAACCTCTTTGTCTTTACATGAATGAAAGATCAATGGCAGTTGTCTAATTTAGACATTCTCTTGAGACCCTGGTGTGTACTTGAGATTGGTCAAAAGGTTTGAACTCATGCAAAGCAAATATGTTTATTCTTACAATCTTTTTACCCATCATGAGTGTATTTACTTTGCTTTCAGTAATGTTCATTCCACACTTTATAGTCCAAAGCTTATTCTTCTTGACAGGGAAGAAAAAAAGCAAAATAGGAGTCAAGCAGTTTCATTGCACCAGTATAGTTCAATAATGTTTAGTTAATGTTTTGTTTGTGTGTTTCTCTAAATGTACCTAAAAGGTACATGTATATGCATGTACATGTATGCCCATGTATGGAAACATTCTTTTTCGGAACCATTAAATTACCTTGGCGTCTTAATCTGTTTGTGCTGCTATTAATATAAAGGAATATCTGAGACTTGGTAATTTATAAATAAAAAAGGTTTGTTTTACTTATCACTGTGCTGGCTGGAAGATCAAGAATCTGATGAAAGACTTAGGCTACTTCCACTCAAGGCAAAGGGGAGCCCATGTGTGCAGAGATCACGTAGTGACAGAGGAAGTGAGAGGAGAGGTGCCATGCTTTTTCTTAAACAACCAGCTCTCCCAGGAACTAATATAGTGAGAATTCGCTTGCCCCTCTTCATAGGGAGGGCATTAATCTGTTCATGAGGGCTCTACCTTCATGATCCAAGCACCCCAATCATGCTTCACCTCCAACATTGGGGATCAAATGTCAACATGAGGTTTGGATGGTACAAATATTCAAACCATAGCACTTGGACATAAATCATTAGGCATTTCTTAAATGTACATGTTACCCATCTATATTTAGCATTGCACATCAAATATCTGGGTATGACCTTTTAAGAATTTGATCTTAGAGAAAGAAAATTCACTACTTCATCATCACTATCACCATCATCGTCATCATTTCTCATTACATTACTATGAGGTAATTTCCAGAATGAAGTCATATTACAAATCACCTAGTGAGTTATTTCTAAAGTCAGATCACAGAGTCAAAATGAGGTACATTTCACCAACAATGCAGAGTATATATGGTTTTCTGTTCACTATTTCTTGAAGCATCTGACAAACCAGATTTCCGCTTCAACATTACAAAGAATTGATGCTATTGTGAATAAAGCCATTGGCTTATGGGAATAAACCAAATTTATATTTAAACACAAATTCCTTAGTAACCCTTGTACTATATGAAGTATTTAAATAAAATAAAATACCATGACATTCTTTATCCCAATTTTCAGACAATAAAACTGAGACTTTGAGAGGTTATGGAACCTCAACCAATTAAATAAGGTTATATAACCATGTGTGTGTGCATCTGTGTGTGTATATATGTCATTATATATTACACATATATAAGAATGCCTATATTATATATATATGTGTATGTAAAAAAACACTTCTATACACACATATATGGCTAAATAAGGTTATTTATACGCTAAGAAAGTTCAAAAAGTTCATGAAAAATGCCTACTATGGGAAAATTGTACATGGTTTTGTTTTTGAAATAAACAAAAATAAATTTGCCAACTTTTAATAACATCTCTGAGCAGAATCTAATTTGAGGTATTAAGAAGGATAAGATATCAGATTGAAAAGAGCCCCTATCAGAGCAATAAAAATCCTGCTAAAATTGAAGCAAGGGCAGATATCAAATTTATGATACAGCTTGAGTGGAAGAATGATGAAATCACTGATGCTTTATGAAAAGTTTGTGGGAACAATGACACATTTTACAAATGAGTAATTCATTTTAAGAAGGGACAAAAGAATGCTGAAGATGAAACCCACAGCAACACATCATCCACATCGATATGCAAGAAAAAATTAATTTTGTTCATGCCTGTATTAGGATTCTCTAGAGGGACAGAATAGGATAGATGTATATATAAAGGGGAGTTTATTAAGGAGTATGACTCACACAATCACATGGTGAGGTCACAATAGACTGTCTGCAAGCTGAGGAGCAAGGAAGCTAGTCTGAGCCCCAAAACCTCAAAAGTAGGGAAGGTGACAGTGCACCCTTCAGTCTGTGGTCAAAGGTCCAAGAGTCCCAAAGCTGAAGAACTGGGAGTCCAATGTTTGAGGGCAGGAAGCATCCAGCATGGGAGAAAGATGTAGGCTGGAAGACTAAGCCAGTCTAGTCTTTCCACATTCTTCTGCCTGCTTTTATTCTGGCTGCACTGGCAGCTGATTAGATGGTGCCCACCCAGATTAAGGGTCTGCCTGCCTATCCCAGTTCACTGACTCAAATGTTAATCTCCTTCCGCAGCAACCTCACAGACACACCTAGGAACAATACTTTGCATCCTTCAATCCAATCAAGTTGACACTTAATACTAACCATCAAAACGCCCTAACTGAGGAAGGCTGACAATAAACAGCATAAACAGACAACACTATACATATATTAATTGGTTTGGTATTACACAATTCTGATTAAAAAATTATCATTGAACAAACTTTTCGCTTGATGGGTACCAAAACTATTGCACCAGATCAGGTGCAGACCAGAGCAGAGCTTTCAATGAAAATTTTAGACAAGTAAGATCAAGATCCTGAAGCATTTCTTCAAAAAATTTTAATAGGAGATAAAACTTGGCCTTGCCAGTGTGATCTTAAGACAAAGCACAATCAAAGCAATGGCTACCAAGTGGTGGAAGTGGATTTGTCAAGAGCAAAGACATTGGCAACAGTTCTTTAAGATGCTCAAGGCATTTTGCTTGTTGACTTTCTGGAGGGCCAAAGAATGATAACATCTGCTTATTATGCATGTTGTAAAAAAGTTAACCAAAGCTTTAGCAGGAAAACTCCTAAGAAAGCTTCACCAGTGAGTCCTTCACCACGAAAACGCACCTGCTCATTCCTCTCATTAAGCAAGGGCAAATTTGTGAGAGTTTTAATAGAAAATCATGAGGCATCCATCATACTGTCCTGATGTGGCTGCTTCTGACTTATTTTTGTTTCCTAATCTGAAAAAGCTATAAGGACACCCATTTTGTTTTTCAGTTATTTTAATGTAAAAGTGACTGCACTGACATGGTTAAATTCCTAGGACTCTCAGTTCTTAGGGATGAACTAAATGGCTGATATCATGGCTTATAAAAGTATCTTGAACTTGATAGATCTTATGTTGAGAAATAAAGTTTGTAATTTTTATATTTTATTTTTCACAAACTTTTTGAAATCCCTTTATATAAATATGTATAAACTTATACACACACACACACGCTGTAAGTTGTCAAAGTTCCAGTTTCTGTATTTGTGTGTGCATGTATGTGTGTAAATATAAATTCAGGCTATCTGACTCTGCTCTGCCACTCTGAAGTGTCAAACAATAAAATTTAAAAAATGATAGTGAGTAGGTGAGTGAGGAACAGGCTATCACGGAGCCAGAAATGGTCTGAGTGCAGGGTGGGGACACAGAAAACATCTGGATTCTGGTCTCCTGAAGAGGCTGGCCCTGCCCTAAGGAATTCTGAGTGGTCGCTCAGCTGACTAACGCCCAGGGATCTGTGCTTTTTGAATATGCCATGATTCTTCTGAAGGACTTCTCTGTTTATAAACCCCCTGAGAGGAGACAGATCCCTGCTTCCCCACCTTTGAAGTCATCATTCCTGTTCCACTCACCACTAGGATCTGTGGGGATCTTTAGTTTCTTTGCCTGTAGAATGAGAGATGAAGGAAATTCCTTAGAGGAATATTTAAAGGAATAGTGCCATGTGTGTAAGCTGCCTTGTGTGGCATCTGGCTCCTACAAAGTATTAAAGGAGGGAAAAAGAGGATCTTTAAAGAATCTGAAAGAAAGGGGATGCTGGAAATTGGGGTGAGCAGGAGGGCTTCTCAGAGGGGCAAAATTGGAGGTAAGGCCTAAGAAAGGTGGCCCATGTTTGAGAGCTTCAGGGGGCATAATTGAAGGGAAGACAGTGGCTCAGGCTGTACGAGCAGAAAAAACTGGGGGTCTTAAAAACCAAGAGATGACTCAGACTTCCTGCTGAGAAGTGTGTCTTGCTAGCATCTCTCCATCACTCCCACATGGTGACAGCTGAGAAAGGAAGGCAGGAAAGAATGTTGACCTGCTCAGCATCCCCTGGAGAAGAGAGAAGCGACATGTGCTATGAAGCCATGTTTCAGGGGGTAGGGCCCAGGGGACAATAATTTGGGGAAGCCGTTTTAAGAAAGTCACACATCTCTAAATGTGAAGAAACAGAAAGCAAAGATGAAGAGATCAGTTAGAAAGGAGATGAATTAGAGATGGAGGATGTTGAGAGAAAAATAAAACTGCAAGGGGCAAAGAATGGAGACGGGGGGATCCAGAGGCAACTTCACAACCGGAAAGCAAAAACCATGGGCACTTCGTATTAAGGGACCATGGTCCCTTAAAATATTTCTGAATCTGACAATCGGTACCAACAGCCTCAGTATCTGAGTCTAGATACAACAGAACTCAGGCCAAAAGCCTCTCCCAGCTGCTTGTATTTATAATCAAATATGCCGGGAGCCTCCAGGGATAGCCACGGTAACCTGCAAGCTGAGAGGCTCAAGCCATGTGACAGTTCAGGAGTCTCCTCAGGGAACAGCAGGGCTTTTATTAGCTCAAAATCAGCCTGGAAAAATGTCCTTAAGCTATAGTTATGGAGGTGTCAACATCTTTGCAAGTCACTATAACAGAGTTTTAAGACACAAAGTTTTAAGTCCAGCACCCCTATTTGAAAACCTGTTACATATTAGCTATATGAGCTAACCTTTACTGCCTTCCTGAGCCCCAATTTTCTTATTTTTAAAATGGAGATAATAACACCTACATCTCAGGGTTGTTAAAAGGATTAAAGAAGATGAGTGTAACAAGGGCAGAATGTCATCCAACTACTGAATGCTCAATGAATGATAACCTGTTAGTAGTTTTAGCATAACAGTTACTTATAATATCATTAGAATTAAAACTAGCATTGCTTTTTTGTTGTCCACATTTGTCTTTGTCTTCTATGTATTTAGGAAGCATTTCTTAAAATAGTCATCTATTTTTTCTCTGGAACAAGGGTACGAAACACCAGAATTCAAGGTTGCCATATAGCCGACTTCATTCTATTATACTAGGGGTCTCCAGGTCTTTCTCTCTCCCTTCTCTCCCTCTCTCCTTTCAATGGTGAGAAAACTGGGAGTAAGGCAGACAAGTCAGGGCATTAAAGCAAGAAAAGCCAGATTTAGACCAGAAAACAAAACACCTTCCAAACAAATTATTCACCTACATCAAATAACTCTTCTTATCATTCTCATACAGAAAACTTTAAGAATTTATTCCTTTGCTCTTGTCCCCAGATCTGAATTTTCCATCAGAGTCCCACTGCCATTTTATTATAAAGTTCTGACACCAAGATATGGGATCATTTATGAGGCCATTTTATGGATAAAAAAATGGCTAAGAAAATTAATGGCTCATTTTGATTTAGTCTTCTCTCCTGCCCAGTAATGACTTTGGATGCAATCCTATTGACCTTCTCTGCTTTTGTTCCCATCAAAATCGATACAGTATGCAAGGTCATAAATTTGCTTTGGCTGGCTTTCAGTTCATTCCAGGACCCAACGCTCCCCCTGCAAACTGGGTGATAATGAAGTTATGGGTGAGGAGGCCTCCTTTAATCAGCAATCATTACATTGGGGCCTGGCTTTAAAGTAAATGACAAATTGGCAGCCTCAGAGCCAGTGGGGTTTGGGGAATTATTGATCAAGAAGCAGCTTTGGAAACTTAAAACTTTACCTGGAGCTTCATAGACAATGAGTAGCAGCTGCTAGGTAACAGGTTCAAACCATTTTCTTAATAAGGTTTATTTCCAGCAGCATCCGAGTGAATACCATTAATTTGGTTCCTCATGGAAGTGGGTCCTATCCAGCTCCAAAAGTATATGATACATAAAAAGGACCATACAGAGTATCCATATACATTTTGCAGATAATAAGACTGAACATGTACTTACCCTCCACCAACTTAAGAAATAGAATACTCTTGTATCTCAAAGAATCCACAACCCTCACTCTTGGATGTAACCACAAATCTGATTTTTGTGATAATATCGTCTTTTCATTATATTTTATCACTTGTAGATATGTTCATGAATAATATATTGCTTTATATTGGGTTTTTAAATTTAAATAAAAATGTAATTTGAGTTCATAAGTGAGATCAACATTAGTTGTCTTCTGTGACTTTCTACTTTTATTTGGAATATTTTTTGAGACTCACTAACATTATGCAAGTGACTGGTTCATTCACAATAACTGTTTTATAATAGTCTGTTATTTGAATAAACCACAATTCATGTTTTCTTTCCACTGCTGATAGACCTTTTCAGGTTTTGTGTTAGTTCATTTTATTATTATTTAAAAGCTACCGTAAGCCTCTTCCTGCACATCTCTTAGACTGCACAGGCAAGAGTGTGAATGAATACATCCAAGAGCAGTTTCTGATTCTTAGGATACACTGAGCTTTACTGCATAATGCTGGTTTATACCAAGTTGGTTTATACCCATTTTCACTCTTATGAACAAGAGATTCCACTGCTCTCTGATATCCAAAATGCTTAGTATTTTATGGCTTTAAAAAAAACTTGGATAAATTTCGTGGATGTAAAATTATATCTAATTGTGGCTTTAGTTGGTTTTAATTAGAATCTCAGAAAACTGAAGAGATTGAGCGTCTTTTCATTCATTTATGGGCCATTTGTATTTTTTCATCTACACAATATCTGTTTATATGTTTCACCCATGTTTACACTAGGTTGTCTATTTCTCATTGATTTCTAGAAATTTTTAAATATATTTTGGATGCCAAAACTTTGTCAGTAATATATATTGCAAATACTCTTTGTAGCTTGTCTTTTCATTTTTCATTTATGGTACCTTTTTAACAGGGAATTTTTTTTTTTTTTTTTTTTTGAGACGGAGTCTCACTCTGTCACTCAGGCTGGAATGCAGTGGTGCGATATCTGCTCACTGCAAGCTCCGCCTCCTGGGTTCAAGCAATTCTCCTGCCTCAGCCTCCTGAGTAGCTGAGATTACAGGCATGTGCCACCACACCCGGCTAATTTTTGTGTTTTTAGTAGAGACAATGGTTTCACCATGTTGGTCAGGCTGGTCTCAAACTCCTGACCTTGTGATCTGCCCGCCTCGGCCTCCCAAAGTGCTAGGATTACAGGCGTGAGCCAATGTGCTGGCTTTTTTTTTTTTTTTTTTTTTTTCAGTTATTCAAGGGTAATGTGATTTCAAGTTTAGTAACCCGGCCAAGACTTGAATATCAATCCTCAAGTTTTGTTTGCCTTGTTAGTGGTGGTAAAAAACACATAACATTAAATTTATCATTTTAACCATTAAGGATGCAATTCATGAGTATTATTACCTATACTCACATTATTGTGCAACTGATCTCTAAAAATGTTTCCTCTTGCAACATTGAATCTCTATATGGCCTAAGCCCTAATCCCTTCTACCCTCCCCAACTCAGCCCTTGGTAACCACCTGTTTTCTGTTTCTATGATTTTTGACTACTTAAGATACTTCATATGTGTAGAATCATACAGTGTCTGTCCTTTTGTGACTGGCTTGTTTTGCATAGCCTAACGTCCTCAAGTCTTATGCATGTTCCAGCATGCAACAGGATTTCCTTCCTTTTAAGGTTGCAGGAAACTCTTTTGTATGTATATGCCACATTTTCTTTACCCATTCATCTCTCAATGAGCATTTAGGTTGCTTCCATTTCTTGTCTGTTGTGACTGATGTTTTGATGAACACAGGTGTGCAAATATCTCTTCCAGATCGTGCTTTAAATTATTTTATACATAAAATAATTTTTATATAATGCCACAAGTACCATAATTATATGGTAATTTTATTTTTAATCTTTTGAGGAACCTCAGTACTGTTTTCCATGACGGTGACGTCATGTATATTCTCACCAACAGTGTACAAGGTATTTTCTCATAGTTCTGTAGAACAGAAGTCAAATTTCAAGCTGTCAGCAGAACCATGCTTCCTCTATAACTTTGAGGAGAATCCTTCCTTGCCTATTCTTAGCATGTGGTAGCGGCTGTAGAAACTTTACATTTCTCTCTTGGCCTGCACCTTCATTATTCCAAGACTGCAGCTACACTGGTCATCACATGATGTTTTCCCTCTGCTTATGTCTCTGTGTCTCATCTCCTCTTCCCATAAGGACACCAGAAATATTGGAAGAAAGCCCACCCTAAAGACTGCATCTTAACTGGATTATATCTGCAAAGACCCTGTTGCCAAACAAGGTCACATTCATACATAACAGGGAATAGGACTTCAATATGTCATTCTGAAGAACACAGTTCAACCCATACCAGCAGCATTGTTTAAAATTACATTTTTTGTGGTATTCAGAAATGCAAGTGACTTCTGCATATCGATTTCAAATGCAGGAAGCTTGCTCAATTCCCTTTAAATTCTAATGATCAATAGATGCTAAATAAAACATGTTATCACCTACAAATAATTATTTTTTCCCTCTTTTTCAAGTTTTAAAACTTTCCTGTTCCTTGACTTACTGTATTGTTTAAGAATTGTATTTTAAAAAGAAAAATAATAAGCGTCTTTAACTTGTCCTTGATCATTAGGAAAATGGTTCCAACCATTAAGTACACTACTTGCTATAAGTTTTTCTTTGTTTAGATATTAATCTGAGGAATTATTATTTATCTAATTAATTAGTATTATTTATCTAATTAATTAGTATTTTATCTAATTATTAAGAAGGGTTTTTTAAATTCCTAGTTCATTAAAAGAACCATTTTTGGAAAATCATAAGTAGGTATTATATTTTATGAAGCACGTTTTAAAATATGTTGAAATAAACATAGTTTTCTCCTTTAATCAGTTAATACAGTAAATTATAATCATTTTTTAATAATAATGAAACAGGAAAAGCTCCCTTATCCCCCTCGCAGGACGTGAGATGGGGGTGTGGCTCACTTCTGCAGTGCTATCCTGCTCAAATCTCTAGGGGAGCTTACAGACCGGCAGGCTGTGGGGCTCCGACCCCACAGCAGTGTCTAGGGGTGAATGTTTACAGCCGAAGCCCCAGTGGGTGTGTGTTACAGTGTGCTCTTTTAGTTTAGCCTTAGTCAGCTTAAGTAGACCCCTGCCTTATGGCAAGGACAGAGGGCTTTCTGTATCCTGGGGTTCTTACCTTGGTGTACTGGAAGAATCGGATCACACGTGGTCTTGGAGAATGAGTTCAAAGTTTTATTGACTGGAAGTAGCTCTCAGCATACGGGGGAGCCAGAAGGGAGATGGTTTTTTCCTTGGAGTCAGGCTGCTCCCTGGCCCGGGCTCTCCTCTGACTGTCCCAGCCAAACTCAGCCTCTCCTTCTGCTGGTCCGTGGCCTGCCCGCATCCCAGGGCCTGCTGATGTGCTTCTCTTAACATCCAGCCACCTGTGTGTTCCTCCACCAATTCGCTCCTCTCCACGTCCAGATGTCTGGGTTTGCAGATAGGCTCCTCTGCAGGTCCAGCAGCTTGTGTGCCTGCCTGCTAAGGTCTGAGGGCAGTTTATAGGCACAGGATGGGGGTGTGGCAGGCCGGGGTGATATTGGGCAATGCAATATTTGGACAGGAAATGCCTATCCTCACCCAGGTCCGTGGGGGTGGAGCCCTAGCCAGGGACCACGCCCTCTTCTACCCAGCACTTCCCTTCCACACTTCGGTATCATTTGAGGGGACCACGCTCTTCACTCCCCTGCACTCCGTATCAATAATTCCTGCTTCTGGCCAGGCGCGGTGGCTCACGCCTGTAATCCCAGCACTTTGGGAGGCTGAGGTGGGCGGATCACAAGGTCAGGAGATCAAGACCTTAGTGGCTAACACGGTGAAACCGCGTCTCTACTAAAAATACAAAAAATTAGCCGGGCGTGGTGGCGGGCGCGTGTAGTCCCGGCTACTCAGGAGGCTGAGGCAGGAGAATGGCGGGAACCCGGGAGGCGGAGCTTGCAGTGAGCCGAGATCGCGCCACTGCACTCCGGCCTGGGCGACAGAGCCAGACTCTGTCTCAAAAAATAATAACAACAATAATAATAATAATTCCTGCTTCTCTGATTAAATGCAGCTTGGCCTAGCTGTCTCCTGATATTCTGTGGGGTTTTTTGTTTTGGGTTTTCTTGGTTGCTATGCTAAAGTTATTGCCCTCTAAGCAGAGCTTCTCATTTTCCACAAGTTTTGGTTATAGCATTTTTATTTTCAGGTAGTGCAAGACAGTTTCTAATTTACCTTTGATTCATGAGCTTTTTAGAAGTTTACTTTTTAATTTTTAAATATATATGTGTGTATTTTTATTTCCATTTTATTTTAATTATGTATTTTTAACTTAATTACATTGTAGTCAGAAAATGTGGTTCTTATAATGCAAATCTTCAAAATGTATTGAGAGTTAAAGCACGTGGAAAATTTTGAAAAATAATATGTTTATAAAAATACATTTTCAAGTTATTGTGTAAAACATTTTATATATGTTTGATAAAGGTTATTTTCCTACTCAAAACCTTAAACTTCCTTCTTTTTTTATTTTTTCTTTTTCTTTCCTTTTTTTTTTCTTTTAGTCACCCTGAGGAATAACTTACTGAAGGATATTTGTTTAAAACTCATTATGTAAAATTTTCAATTATTTTTGTAGCCTAACGTATAATTAATATTGTATATATCCCAAGCCTTGCTTTTAGATATATCAAGGTCTGAATTGTTATATCTTCCTTTTACATTGAATGTATATAATTATAGACTCATTTACTTTAACTATATATTTTTAAAATATCTATCTTATCTAGCTACACGGCTTTTCTTCTGATTGATATTTTCCTGGTATGCTTTCTTATCCTTTAACTCTTTACATAATTGTAATTGTTTTGTCTTGAGAACAATAGATACCTTTTCTTGCTTTTATTTTTGCACATCCTGAAATGTAGTTGTATTTTAACTGAAAATTTGGTTTATCCTTTTTTTATTATTATTAGTATATTTGTATCTATCTCTAACATTAAGTGCTTCCTGTCAACCTGGTTTTAAAGTTTTCTTTACCTTTGATTTTCATTTTTGGATTGTTACAGCCTTCTTTATCTTTATTCTCATTATATTTTATTTCCTCTGCTTTTTTGGAAGTTACATGTTCTTTATTTATTCTTATAGTGGATAGCCTAATTTTTTAAAAGATATATAATATAGTATAAATTAATCAAAATCTTTATTTTCTTTTCAATAGAGCCTTAAAATATTTTAATTTTCATTACTTCTTTTATTTCAAATTACATTATTTTCCATTTTTTTATTTTTTAATGTTTATTCTGTCACCACCCCTACCACATACATACACATTAGGAATTACCGTTTTTAATACATCAATGAATGCTTAGATTATATTCTATATAAAAATATATTTAACTATATATAATACATTAATGCCTAATATAATATATTAATGTCTATACCCATAATGTCTTTCAAATTCTATTTTAAATCTTTTGAGATTCTATTTCTGCCAAATATATGTCTTTTTAATTTTTCTTATAAAAATCTGTTGATGGTAAAGTTTTTTCTTCCCCAAAAGTATTGTTTTCATTTTTATTCTAAAAAACCATGCAGAACCTGGAATTCTGGGATAGAACTTATTTAATTCCAGCACATTTGAGATAATATTTCCTTCTTCTCTGGCATTAATAGTCGTTTCTAAGAAATCAGATCACTCTAAATAATGTTATCTTCTGGTTGACGATGTGGCTATGAGTAGAAAGCTATGATACTATGATGTGGCTAGGAGTAGATTTTTTAAATTTTCTTTTTTCTGTTTGGAATTTATTGGGCTACCTGAAGTTGAGTTTAGTGGAATAAATAAAATGAGATATAGGGCACAGTAGAACTTTACAAAATGAAAGAGATTCATTATACACAGAGCAACATAAATGAAAATTGAAAAAAAAAGGTAAGATAAAAAAACCCTAAAATATATAATGTAATAGCATTTAAATGCTTTAAGAATTTACCACCCAAAACAATATAAAATCATGAATAGTTATGAGTAAAGATGTACAAAACCAACACTTAAGAATAGTCACTTCTGATGTTGGTAGAAAGGGGAATAGGAGTATGGAATAAAGATAAAGGGCAGACACAGCAAATAAAGCAAACAAAAAATAAACAAATTAATAGAGGGGCGTTGTATTGACCAATATGATAACATACACTTAGCTGAGAAGTATTACTTACTTAAACCTTTATATCTGAGGTCCAAAGTATATATTTGTATAGGTATATATATATATCCCTTTGTACATTTCTTAACCAAAATCTTTAATTTCAATGTACTTGAGTTTATTACTTTATGATTTACACTTTGTGTTTTTCAAGTTCTCTAAAAAGTCCTTCCGAAATTTTCATTCAAAATGATATTCTCCTGTATTTTCTTCTATTAAACATACACACATGCGTGCGCACACACACATACACACACACACACACCCCACTATACAAATGCAAACTTGTATATATTTTTTATAATTAAGTCTCTAATCCACCTGGTGTACAACTTTGTATGAGGTATTAAGTGAGATCTTATTCTGGTTTTCCTCTGCCACCAACAGTAGGAATTTCCTTGGTCAAGTCTCTTTTATTTAAGGATCTACTGTGCCTTTTTATTTCTCCCCATGATGTCCTTCCAGGTATGGGCTCTAGTTGAAAACTGTTTTACAGCAGCTTACAACACACAGAAAGATGTTTCCTTCAGCCTGAATTATTTCTATGATAGCCATAATTGAAATGCAATAATACAGAAAATAATCATACACCAGCCTTGAGCAACTTCTCAGTCAGGGCACAAGATTTTGGCATAATCAAGTCTATGATATTTCACTAGTGTCCAGATAAAAATTGCAATAAAAATAATAGGCATAATGTCATATAGACATAATGACAAACCAGCAAGTTTTCCACTGCAGCAGGAATATCCACCTCTGTTCCATTATCATTTTTATATCTTCAAGGAATCTGTTCCCTCCATAAACCCAGATGATTCCTATTAGTTCCAGTATAGTTGCAATCAAAATGTCCCGTTCAGTACAGAAGTGGCCAGTCAGATGAGCCACTAAATTCCAGCCTGAACCACACGGGTGACTTCTCTCTCTTTCTCCCTGTTTCTCTCTCTCTTTTGCTCCTTCCTCTCCTCCTCCCTCCTCTAGTAGGTGGACTCCAGACATACTATCCCTTTGTCTATCAAGACTACTGTGCCTGTCTTCACATATCTAACACTCATACATGGTCTCAGCTTTAAGATTTACTTCGTCTGGTCTGTGGCAATTCTAAGTGCTCATTAAGCTCCTTGTGCTTGCCCCATGAGAGCATTCATCAGTAATATGTAACTATTCCAGGGGACATGGGGACCATTGCTTTACATTTGCCTGGCAGCATTTCTCTTTCCACTTCTAATATTAGACCCCTCCTCTCTGATCCTAGGCATGGCCCATGTCCCTGGGAACAGTAGAGACTGAGGCCTGGGTCTCAGTGGCATCAATTAGAGCCTTTCCCTGGGACTGATGTACGAGTGTCTCTTTCTGTTGGCATCTTTAAATGAGAAGATAAAAATCCAGGTTATCATTAGCCACATTCACTGGTCAAGAAAAAGGCCTCTGCAGAACACAGCTGAGCAGAACCACACAGAAGTGGAAGAAGCAAAGAGGTTTCCAGAAGACTGTGAGTACTTGATTCCAATCTCTGAGCTTCTATTTCAGGCAGTTCTTCCTTTGATCCTTCCCAAGTTCTATAAATAGAAATTTCCACTTTTGCTTGTGTTAATGAATTGCTCTTTATCATGCGTAATAGAGTTCTGACGAATATACCTGATTATTCATCTGTGTGTCTCTCAGCGTTGCTCAACAGGATAGCAGCATCAGCCTTGCCTGAGAATTTACTAGACATCCAATTCCCAGGCCCATCCACAGACCCACTCAGCTCAGGGTAGACACACATACACACACACCCCACTATACAAATGCAAACTCAGGGTAGGACCTGAGATTCTGCATTTGAACTTGTCTTTCAGGAGTTCTTATGCATGCTAATGTTTGCGAAGAACTCAACTAGTTTATAAAATAAGAGAGATCCAACCACAACAATCAGCCTGTCCAACTAGTTTGCCAATTCCATAGAGACGTTCCATCTCTTATTCAGTCTTATATTCACCACCTAGAAAGTGCCTAGCACACAAATTGGTATTGGAGCATATTGAACAAGAAACACAAAGGCAGAGAAAGCAAGGTAGGATGGCAAAACTCCTGCATTCAGCATAGAATCAGGTTAAGCAAGGTGTTTGGGGACATGGATCTGGGGATGAAAGGCCTAGAGCTGAGACTTTGGGATTGGAGACTGGGAAATGACACAGAATAAGAACAGGAACTCTGGGCAAGTTCACAGGCTTTGAGACTCACGAGTATGGAATCCAGCCCGTCATCTTTCTCCTTGGAAGTGTGTTATTAACACATTTTTCCTCATTAAAAGGTAGACAAACAAGAGAAACCTCTTTCTATAGCCACAATTTCTCCATTGGCTCTCAACGCCTGCCCTGGGACCATCTTCACTGCTACCCTGGTTGGACTCATCCCTGCACCCACCACATACACACGGTAGCAAAAGCACCGCATATCAAATTCCCTTTGCCAGATAAATGGGGTCTCTAGTCTGTACACGGACCTAAAAGTTTGGGCCAGAGGTTGGCGCATGAGGAATGGTGGGTGTCTTTTTTCTGGGAGCCACGGTGCCTGGTGTAGCAGGACCTGTCCTGGAGTCCCATCCAAACAAGGAGGGAGGCAGGTTACTAGCACGCATCACAGAACCCAAGGTAGAGCAGAAAGGGACTTCTTGATATAAAACATGCTAGCATATTATCAAGTCTAGTTATTTGTTTACTTTATATTATCCCTCTGTGGAATGTTAGCATAACAAAGGCAGAGATATTATTTATATTATTCATTCTATATCCTTAAAAGAGTGTATGAACAGAGAAAATGCCCAAGAATATTGAATAAATAAAGGAATAAAACAGACATGGCAGAGAGGAAGACACTTTAGGCAGAAAATGAGAGGCAATTAAGCCACATTTGAACAAATAAAGGCTTTTTGTTTGTTTGTTTTTTAAGATGGAGCCTCACTCTGTTGCACAGGCTTGAGTGTAGTGTTGCAATCTCGGCTCACTGCAACCTCCGTCTCCCGGGTTCAAGCGATTCTCTTGCCTCAGCCTCCCCAAGTAGCTGGAATTACAGACGTGTGCCACCACACCCAGCAAATTTTTTTTTTTTTACTTTTAGTAGAGACGGTGTTTCACCATGTTGGCCAGGCTGGTCTCGAACTCCTGACCTCAAATGATCTGCCTGCCTCAGCTTCCCAAAGTGCCAGGATTACAAGCATGAGCCACCATGCCCAGTCAATAATGGCTTTTTTAAGGAAGGCTCGGACGAGCCATGGGGAGGGATGGGCTAAAGAGCCAAACCAGCAAGCATGCACATGTTCAGCGTAAACTGTCCGTGAGCCCAGTATACTGGGCAAGCTGAGAAATAATTATGTCCTCCTTCCTTGATCTTGCCCACCAATTTCTACCTCTCATCCTACTGTGGTATCCACTCCCAGTACCTGTGGACTCCTATCGCATCATCACATCTATTGCCTGGCTTCACAGATCCTTCAGTCCAGGCCATGTAGACCCTCACACTCAGGTTTGCCTTCCTTTGGCACAGTCTCACACCCCTAACTCTTCTACTTATCACCACTATAAAAAATATATGACCTCTCACAATGCTCTATCCTCAGAGCTCAGAGAGGTGCTTCGTAGACAAGGACACTGCGGAAGCCAAAGGGCACAGTACAGTTTAAGATGCATTCCCAGCTCATAAAAAATTAGCAACTAATTGATAATTTATCTAAGGTCATTTGCTTCCAGGGTTATTTTGAAAAATTATACTTAAGAGAACAGTAATTTAACCCAAAATGAATGCCTCAGCAGTGGAATCTTAAACCAGTCACAGGCTGTTGAGACATTTTTGGAGTAGAGCTGGGTGATGGGGTGAGGCAGGTGGTGCCCTGCAAATCACATCTGAAAAATGTCAGTTCTTGGCCACACCCCCAGAAGTGTGATTTCCCTTTTGCTGCAGTCATGGTTAGAACTTTAGCATCAACATAGTCCCAGGAAAACATGGACATACGGTCTTCGGGTGTTTTCTCCTCTAGGCGAAACACTGATCCACATAATGTTTATGTGAATATTAGCACTTACCTTTTCATTCGGGATAATTCAGGGATATGTAGAAAAAGAGACACAAAATAGACACCACTCTAAGCATTATTCTGGAGCTGAAGCATGACATTCTGCTTTTCTCTCTCTTATATTTTTTTTTTTTCTGAGACTGGGTCTGGCTCTGTCGCCCAGGCTGGAATGCAGTCTCCGCTCACTGCAAGCTCCGCCTCCCGGGTTCACGCTATTCTCCTGCTTCAGCCTCCTGAGTAGCTGGGATTACACGCACCTGCCACCACGCCCGGCTAATTTTTTGTATTTTTAGTAGAGATGGGGTTTCACCATGTTAGCCAGATGGTCTCAATCTCCTGACCTCGTGATCCACCCGCCTCAGCCTCCCAAAGTGCTGGGATTACAGGCGTAAGCCACCATGCCCGGCCGACATTCAGGTTTTCAATAGCTCCCCATCTTAATAATTTCTATGAGGCACATGCCATCACTTCCAGAACTTGGTTTCATCATGCACCATTGTTGACGTTTCTATCTGGTTAAATGTGCAACACTGTGTTTCCTCTCTCTGGAAGTTACCTTTCTTCCATGTCTTCCTCCAGACTTAGATTTTTCCATCTCTGATAGTTGCTTGATGGAATGAGTGTAAATTTCATAGGTAAAGAAATAGACATGAGGTCATTCATGAAGCCTGGGCCCACCAAGGTTGCCTGAAAAAGGTTTGGGCATATTGCCTGGTGAGTTAATGTCAGATTTTTCACTTGTGACTGTTAGCTTTGGTGAGGTCTAGAATGTCAATATTACAAACTATTTGAACTCAGTCATGGAAAGATATGCAATCAATAGTCCCCTTATCTTATTCCAAACAGGTCTTTAAAAAAAAAAAAAAGATGGCCAAAAAATGACCTACTAGCATTACCTAATGAACAAAATATTCTCTTTTCCCTTTTACCTCTCCAAATATTAAATTGTCAATTTTATAATTTAACATTAAATAAGTGCCTACTACATGCCAGGTACAGCCCTAGGCCCTGGAGAATACAGATAAATAAAATCCCTGCAGTCCTTAAGGAGAGCACAGTGAAATGGGGAAGACATGTGTCAATAAAAATGTGCAAAAAAGAGTGGTAGGACAAGATGATGTAAATCCATTTCTCCCTGCTGTTTGTTACTAAGAAGCCACAGGAGGAAGTGACTCCCTTTTCCAGCAAGCTTGAGACGTCCATCACCCTCCAAAAGTACAAAGGTAGGCAGGTGGAAATGGTAAGATAGATTCAACCACAGCAATCAACCTGTCCAGAAAGCTTCTTATCTCCACGGGCCTAAGACTGCTTCCTCCTCCAGGGTAGGTGGGCCAGAACATTTCCCAGTTTACTTTATGAGGCCAGTATTATTCATATATTAAAGCCCCAAAAAGACAGTACAGAAACAAAACCACAAAGTATTCTCTCTCGTGAACATAGACACACAATTTCTCAAGAAAGTATTAGCAGACTTGCTGATACAAGCAGCAAAGAAAAAAATTTAAAAAATTATTAGCAAACAAATCTATGAATGTATACAAATAATCAATTATACTCAATGTCCAAGTGATATTTATTCTAAGTATGCAAGGCTAGCTCAACATTCTAAAATTAATGAATATAATCCAATATATCACACACAATGTTCAAAATAGATGAAAGGATGGAAAAGGATATACCAAATTAATTATAATAAAAAGAAATCTGGAGTGACTATATTAGTATCAGACAAAGTAGAAATCAGGACAAGAAATAATATAAGGAATGAACAGAGACATTGGATAATGATAAAGTGGTAAATTATTCAAGACAAACCAATTGCAAATTTATATGCCCCTTAAACAGTTTCAAAATATATAAGGTAGAAACCTATCAAACATATCAAACTAAAAGGAGAAACAGACAAATTCACAATAACATTTAGAAACACTACAACCCTCTCTAAGCAATTGAAAACAACTAGATTGAAAATCATTAAGAATATTTAATACCTGAATAACACTATCAATCAACATGGCTTAATTGACATGTGTGAACACTTCAACCAAAAACAGCAGTATACACATTCTAAGTACACATGGAACATTCACCATGATAGACCATACTCCTAGTCATAAAACAAAATGTACTAAACTTAAAAGGATTCATATCATACAAAGTGTGATCTTGGATCAAAATGAAATTAAAACTAAAAATTGGTAACAAAATATTATTCAGAAAGCATTCAAATATTTAGAAGTTAAACACCATACTTCTCAAAAAATCCAAGGACAAAAGTGGAAATCACAATGGATATTATGTGATTTTTATATTGATTAAAATGAAAATGCAACATATCAAACCATGTGGGGCATAACTAAAGAAGAGCTTAGAAGAAAATTTATAGTGTAAAATTGTTATATTCAAAATGACAAGAAGTCTCAAATTAATAATTTAATCTTCAACCTTGAACTATGAAAGGAAGGGCAAATTAAATGCGAAGGGAAAAGTAGGAAATAATTAAAATTAAAGATGAAAATCAATAAAACAAGAAGAGAAAAAAATATAGAGAAAGTAAACAAAATAAATTGCTAGTTCATGAAAAGATATATAAAATTGATGTCCTTCTAGCCAAATGGATGAAGAAAAAACCAGAACTGACACAATTTACTAAGAAATATAAGAAATCTCATGGACTACAAGAAAGATAATAAGGTAATATCAATAGTAATTTTATGTCAGTGAATTTGATTTGATAACATAGGTGAAATGGACAAATTACTTGAAATCAGCAAACTATCAAAACTCAAGAAGTACATGTAATGAACAGTCCTATATCTATACAAGATATTGAATTTTTATTCAACAGTCTTTTCACAAAGAAAAAAATCCAGGAATATATAAGAACAAATCTACCAAACATTTAAGCAGAAAAATCTACCAAATGTTGAAATTTACCAATGTTTAAGCAGAAAATTATATACAATTATAAAAATTATTCTGAAGAAAATAGAATTAAAGGAAAGCCATCCTAATTTCATTTATGAGGCCAGCATCACACTAGTGACAATATCAGGCAAAGACAGTAAAATAAATAAAATATACAGACCAATACAATTATTATTATATACATAAAAATCCTTAGCAAATGATTAGCAAATAGAATTCAGCAATAAAAATATAAGGATAATGCAATGTGAGCAAATGAGATTTATCACAGGCATGCAAGGTTGGTCCAATATTTTTAAAGTGAGCCAATGTGGTCACAAATCTATTATCTCAGTTCTTACCTGAAAGAAAACTAGGAAAACAGTAGTAAAGCTGATCAGTCAAAAAGAAGATATTTCTTAATTTTTGAAAGATATCTCTTTATGTGAAATAAGACAACTTATTTGAAGATAAGAGCAGAGATCAGTGAAATAGAAATATGGAAAACAACTGAGAAAATAAATGAATCAAAAAGCTGATTGTCTCAACAAAATTAAGAAAATTAACAAACCACTAAAAAGGCTGACAAAAACAAAATGAGAAGGCATGAGTCACCAATATCAGGAATGAAACAGAGGACAGCACTACAAATCCTCTAGCAGTACCGACAATGAGAGAATGGTAGACACAACTTTATGCTCATAAATTTTACAATTTAGGATAAATGAATGAATTCCTTGAGAAACTTAACCAAGATAACATATGTAATCTGAATAGCCCTATAGTCAATAAAGAAATAAAAATTTATAAAAGCCCTAGAAAAAAATCTCCAAACACACAAAAATTTACTAGAAAATTTTACCAGACATTTAAAGGAAATTACACATGATAACTTCCAGAAAATACAAAACTAAGCAGTTCCCAGTTCATTTCATAAAGCCAGTATTATCCTGACACCAAAAGCCTAAAATGACATTACATGAAAGGAAACTGTCAGCCATTATCTCTCATGAACTTAGTCACAGAAATCATTAACAAAATTTAGCAAATGAATTCACCAATATATTTTAAAAAAAAAAAACCTCATGAACAAGTGGGATTTCTTTTTCAAGTATACAAGTCTTCAACATTTGACCATCAATTAATGTGATTAACCATATCAACAAGCTAAAGAAGGAAAGTCATATCATCTTATCAATTGACCACGAAAAGCATTTTCTCCCATTCATCATAAAAACTCTCAAAAAATTAAGAATAGAAGGAAATTAACTCAACTTGATAAAGAGCTTTCCAACGTGTTTCAGTCAGACCCTTTTTAAGATACTATCCTCATTAGTGACTGCCTGCATATAATGTCCCCTTTTTCCTTGGATACTTCATAAAGGCCTTGCTCAAACACAACCTCCTCTAGTAAGCCTTCCATGACCAGCACACCCTTATTTACTAGCCAGTTCTACATTAAAAAAAAAAAAAAAAACATGATTTGTGTCACAAAAAATCCATGTAAAACATGTAATATTGTTCATTGTTATTACATGTGGCATTAACTTTGTTCCATCAATAACAACAGAAGATTCTTAAGGGAAGGAATTTAGGACATAGTTTCTGTGTTATCCACTGGTCCTCCTACACAAATAAATGAATTATAGATTCTGAGTAAATCCAACTAAACATATGGGAAGAGGGTGAATTGAGTAAGAATGAGAGAAAAGAGTAAATGAGTACTTGTCTGCAAGAAAATGTATGTTCTATGTTATAATATATAACATTTAGTAAATCAAATAATTTCCACAGCTTAATTTACTGCATATGTAAAATAAAGAGAAATATATCTGTGCTGGTTATGGTAAGAGCTATTGGGCTGAACTAGGAATAAGATGGCTCATAGAGAAGAATACATGAGCTGGCCTGGGAAGCCACTTCTAGGCTGAGGGGAGGTAAGCATGAGGAGCTCATAGGCACCACTGTCAGGACTAACGGTGTAGGACTGAGGTGGGGTGAATAGATGCAGGGATTTGGGGTGGAGGGCTCCTTCAAGGAGGATGACTATGAAAGTAAAGACAACGGAGGCCAGGGTGGAGAAGCAAATCCATAGGTGGTGTATGATTCAGAATTCTCCAGAGAAACAGAACCAATAGAATGGATGGATAGATAGATGATAGATAGATGGATAGATAGATGATAGACAGATAGATAGATAGATAATAGATAGATAGATAGACAGATGGTAGATGATAGAGATGGAGATATATAACAGACTAGATAGATGGATACATTCGATAGATGGATAGAAACAGATAATACATATAAATATAGATAGACAAAAATCAGAGGAATTTATTATGGGATTTGGTCACAAAATTATGGAAACCTAGAAGTCCCATGAAAACCAGAAATGCTGGTGGTGTAATTCAGTCCAAATCTGAAGGCCTGAGAACAAGGGGAGCCAAATGGGACTCCCAGTCTGAGGCCAATAACCTGAGAACTAGAGGGACGCTTAGTGCAAGTTCCAGAGTCCAATGGCCTAAGAATAGGGGCTTCAGTGTCCGAGGGTAGGAGATAGATGTCCAAACTCAAAAGGAGAGAGACAGAATTCACCCTTCCTCCTCCTTTTTGTTCTCTCCTGGCCCTCGAAGGACTGGATGGTGCCCACCTATGTTAGTGAGGGCAGATCTTTACTCATTCTACAATTTGAACGTTCATCTTTTCCAAAAACACCTTTACAAACACACCCAGAAATGATGTTTTGCCAGCTCTCCACACATCTTTTAACCCAGTCAAATTGACACATAAAGTCACTCATCACAGTCAGGAAGCTCCAGAAAAGATGTGCAAGAGGCTGAAGTAGAAAAAAGGGCAGCACTTGGAAGGTGTCCACAGAAGGCAAGAAGAAATGACTGTACACCTGGATCTGGCTGAGAGTCAGGGAAGGTTTTTCTGAGGAATTGGGGAAATGTGGGTCAGTACACTTCAGTTTCAAGTAACAAAGACCCTACTCAAAGTAGCATAAGTGAAACGAGGAATTCATTGACTCTTCTAACTGAAAAGTTCTAACTGGGGGAACAGTTTTTTTTTAGACTTTTATGGAGTGGAATTAATGTGATTTTGCTCTTTTCCTCTCCCCACTTCACTTGTTTTGACACTGTCTCTGCTTCTTCCTCTCTTCCTGACCTTGGTTACTTCTACTATAAGCAGCATTTATCCCTATGGCAGGGGGAGTGGGGAAGGGAGAATAGGGCTGGACAGGCTGTAAGCAACTGCAAGCTTCTGTCATCCCAGATTGGAGCCCATTGTAGCAAGCAAACTCATTATATCCTAAGGTGCATATTCAGATTCAGAAAATAACTCTGATTATCCGAGCTTAGAGCACATGTCCATTCCTGGATGAAACTGAGACTAGAGAGAGAAAAGTGTTAATTAGAGGAGGACCAAGCCTAGGTCCTATGCCCACTAGTAGAAGAAGAGTGAGATCCTGATATCAGCATACCTATGAGAACCACACGAAGTAGAGAAGCTATAATTTCCCAAAGCATTTTGTTTTTACTGAAAGGAAGAGGAAAAGTCCTCTGGACAGAAAAAAATACAATTGACCCTTGAACAACACGGGTTTGAACTGCACGGGTTCACTTATAAGCAGGTTTTCTTTCACCTCTGCTACCCTTAAGACGGCAAGTACAAGCCCTCCTCTTCCTTCTCCTCAGCCCACTCAACATGAAGATGGTGAAGATGAAGACTTTTATGAAGATTCACTTCCACTTAATGAATAGTAAATATATTCTCTTCCTTATGATTTTTCTTAATAACATTTTTTCTGTCTCTAGCTTACTTTATTTTAAAAATATAGTATATACTACATATGACATACTAAGTATGTGTTAATGGACTTTTTTTTTATCAGTAAGCCTTCTGGCAAAGGTATGTCAATTTAACTATTGTAAGTAGTGAAGTTTGGGGGAGTCAAAAGTTATATGTGGATATTCAACTGCATGGGGGTCAGCACCCCTGATTCCCATGTTTTTGAAAGGTCAACTATAGTCTACTCTCTAGGCACATACTTATAAATAGAGTATATTAGAAAATTAATACATTAGGGCTTTGAGATAAACCTCCTGAGGAATTCCAACTCTGGTGGTGGCTCCCTTACTGCTAAAGCACACTTAGGCCTTGGATTCCAGGAAATGTACTTGTGACTCCTGTCTCCTGCCCTTGTTGCGGTCTTCCCTTCTTCACTTCCTTTGACTAGCCTCATGGGTTGGTGTGCCCCAGGCTTCCACGCCATACCCGCTTGCTGGAAAGCCTCCATCACTTTGTGTTTTCCGTTTTCACCTCCTACAACAGGAATTCAGAAATTATTCATTTTCTTATATGCAAATGCTAAACAATATCTCTGACAATTCTTTCCAGAGACATTTCAAATCCAGCTGTCCAATACCAAATTCATTACATTTCCCTTTAAAACCTGATCCTTATTCACATCTTCTGTGTCTTGGTTAATGGAACTCATAGTAGAAACATAAATTTTGAAGCTATTCTAGACTCCTCCTTCCCCTTCCATCCCCAAACAGTAAGTTACCAAGAAAAATTCAGTGTACCTCCTAAATGGTTCTTAAATCTTTCTCCTTTTCTCCAACTTCATGATTACTTTCATAGTCAAGCCCCTCAAACTCACTTCGTATTACTTATAGCCACTATTTATTGAAAGTTTACTGTTTGCTAGGCCAGCACTAAGCACTTTATGTAGGTTTTCTCAAGTAATCTCTAAACCAACATCAGAAATTATGTTTGTGAGAGGTATAAAATGGCCCTCTTGCTTGCCTCTCCATTCACTCTCTTTCTTGCTCCTCCTGCCAGGCTGGAGGAGATGCTAATGTAATTTAGACAGTAGTACTCACAGAGCAGCATCATTGCTCTTTAACAACCATATGTAAATGTTTGGGGCCCTTTAGCAACAATAAGAGGGAGGGTGCTATTGGGATTTTGTGGGCAAAGACCAGTAATTGAAATTCCTACAACATTCAAAATAGTCTCCGATAATGAAGAATTGCCTTAAACAAAATGATAATTGTATCTCTATTGGTAAAGCACTAAAGTAGGATGTTGATTGAACTGTATTCCCAAGCCAGCTCACTCATCATATACTTCAAAGAAATACACTTGTGTGTAATCCTCCCTTCCACTCTTTTTGGGTGTGTATTTCTCTCCTTGTATACAAATGCAAGCATTCAGGTCATTACTGTGGGTCCATTCATTCATTCATTTATTCAGTGGCTAACTATTAAGCAACTGCTGCATGCCAAGTACTCTGCTAATGCTGGGTAATAAGCAACACTGACACAGTTTCTCCCATGTGGAGACTAGAGTGTAATTGGAGAGAGAGAAAAAAAAAACTGATAATCACAAAAATAAATGGAATTACAACTGACATAAAAGCAATGGAAGGAAGGTACATGGAATTAAGAGCAAAAATGAAAGGAATTAAAACTCTGTATCTGGACTGGGAGGTAAGAAAAGGTCCTCTTGCAAAAGTGATAGTCTAGCTTAGATACGAAGTCTAGGTAAGAGTGAACTAGGTAGAGATCTGATGAGATTGGAGTGAAGAGCGGGGAGAGATTTTCAGAAAGCATAACAACAAATACAATTATCCTGTGACAAGAGACAGCACATTGGATTCAGGGACCCTAAGGAGGGACTTGTGGCTGGCACAAAGGCTCCAACAAGGTGTGCGGAGCAGGTGAGGCCAGAAAGACAGGTAGGGGCCAAACCATGCATGGATTTGCAGATCATGCTGAGATCATGAAGTCACAATCCAAGGGTTTTGAGAAGCTAATTAAATCTTGCAGAAAGGGTTGATGTGGTCTTATTTGCATTTTGAGATAGGTCACTCATAGGTGGATTTGAATCAGGCAAGAATGGATGCAGTAGATCAAACAGCTTGCAATTGTATTGACCCTGTGAGCAGGGTGAATGGTTTGGTCACGCTCACCAGAGGTGGTGGCAGAAAACATGGAAAAAAATTGAAGAATCTGAGGGTAGCTTAGAAAGGATAAATAAAAGGCCTCCTTCAGGCCTGAGATGAAACCTAGTGCTTGAACTCTGATTTCCAGAATTACTAATGAGGATATCAGACCAGATATTAAACATGATAACTATTTTTCTATGTGATTAACCTGTCCATCACCCTTAACGCTATCTTTTTTTTTTTAAGAGGTCTCTTATTTACGGGAGTTGCGTAGATGTAAAACTATTAGTAATAAATGAAGCCAAATTTAAACCTAATTCTTTTTTAACCCAAAGCCTAGACTCCTTGAAATAGTACCTCACATTGTGTCTTTGTGCAATGGCCATTTAACCGGGATTCTTGCCTCAAGTTCTACCATCTAATTTTGTGATTCACAAATAGTGTACCTCAGACCAACAACATCAGCATCACCTGGGAATTTGCTAGAAGTGCAAATTCTCCAGTCTCTTCCCAGTCCTAGAGATGCCAGCATTAGACTCAGCAACTGGTGTTTTAACAAGACCTCCAGGTGAATCTGATGCATGCTGAAGTTTGAGAACCAATGATTTAACTCATTTTCCACATTCCTTCTGTAAGAAACACTTTGAAGTTTCTTCAGCCAAGAGTCATGCATAGTCAGTGCATGACTCTGAAAAACAGATTCCCTCCCTAGATTTTATCCAACTCTCTCAAGGATAATAATAGTCAGAGAGGTTAGTAACTTAACAATTCTCTTTTTCACTGTTATATTCCGAGCTCCTAGGACAGTTCCTGGAAGGAAGAAGGTACTCAATATTTACTGGTTGAATAAATATGATGCATGTCTCTTTTGAATATAATTTTTCTTCACTTCTCATGCCCAGTCTTTCAATATATTTTCAGCTGAGCCTATTTTCTCACAATTCTTGTAAGAGTAAATCACTGGTACCAAAAGGAGGATAAACATCACAGTTCCCATTGCTCACTACTCACCCTTTCATCCTTCTCCTGACACTCCCTCCTTAGGGGAAAAGAGTCACTGCTGTAAAAGTGAGCTATTCTCTGTGCATTTTTTAAAACCTCGTCATTTCCCCCAGCAAAATGTCAAGAGCTATTTGGCTGGGAACCCATAACTTGGTAGGTAATAAAATAAGCATAGATTTGAAAATCATGTCTTAGGACTAAAGGACTCCAAGGAATTTTAAATAAATGATTTATCTAAATGAGTGATTGTATTAATTGCTATATCTAGAATTTAGCTTATCTGTTAATACACCCTGGTGAATTCAGTGATATGGCTCTTCCCCAAGGTGCCTGTGGCCATCAGGATGTCATTCAGACAGGACGAAATATCCACCCCCAAGGCTAAATGAGAAACATTATCTCAGCAAAGCTGCATTCTAGCCTGGAAACATATGGGCAGAGAAGAAATTAACAATGGGAGCTGGAGGGGCAATAAGCATATGACATTATCACTAAGAAAATCCATTTAGATATTTAAGTTACACACTCTAGTGTCAGGCTGTTTAAATGGACCTATTGATCTTTCAGTTTCAGTAAAATTGCTCTCATTTTGATTATACTGTTTAACCTTGAAGAATTGTAGGAAACATCTTAGTTCCAGAACTTTCCTTTCTCCCTACATATTACATTTTAATCGTTTCTTACTTTCCAGCTCTCTCTCTTATTCTCTTTCCTCCTTCCTTCCTTCCCCACAACCCTAAAGCTTATGATATTATTTAAGGCGTCCTGAGTATCTACTACATTATATGAATACAAAAATAAAGATTACACAATATTCACCACAATCTAGTGCTGTAATTTTAGCCAATTCTTCAATTTTCTCACTAAAAAATATTTTATGATACATATGATATGATTATTATGAAGAGTAAATGAGCTAATATGTATAAAAGTTATAAGAAGAATTAGAGCAAATAATACGCTGTATGTAAATGTTAGTTGTTATTTAAGTGCAGTGACAGAAAGAAGGGATATGAGGCACATACCACTTGTAGGATGGAGAAGTGACATGCTAGAAGACCATTTCTAAGTGACATTATTTGAAATGGGAACTTAAGAATTTGTGTACCAGCGTACTCATTTATTAAATATACTGAGTTATTTTAATAGGCCAAGGCCTGTGCTAAGCACATGTGATGAGATAACGTGTGTGTGTGTATGTATGTGTGTGTGTGTTTGTATGTGTGTGTGTTGTTGTTGTTGTCATATTCCTTGGTTCTAGGAGGGGCTCAGCTGTGTAGATCTCACCTGGGACTTTTCATATGTTTACAATCACTGGAGCCACAGTCTTCAGGCTTATCCACTCATCCGTGTGGTACCTGAGCCAAAACAGCTGAGGTGTCAGGGGCTGCTCAGGCATCTCTCTCTCCATGAAACCTCTCTGCATAGCTAGTTTGAGCTTCCTCATATCCTGGAGATCCTTGGGTGGGTGTACTACTTATACAATGAATGTCTTCTTCCAGAGCAAGCATTTCCAGGAAAACAGACAGAAGTTGCCAATTCTCTTAAAGGTTAGGCCCAGAACTTGTAGGGATCCCTTCCACTGAAGTCATTGTTTGAAGCAATTGCTAGTCAAACCAGCTTCAGGGGATGTGCTTTTGTAATCACCCCGTGGGTTCTTCCTGCCCCCTGCACAAAGTCCATTCACTGAGACCATGGCATTGCAGTAGAGAAAGTTTAATTGATGAGAGTCTGGCCCATGCAAGAGAAATGGAGTTAACACTCAAATCATTCTCTCAGGCTTGGAGCTTAGAGTTTTTGTAGACGATGTGGTGGGCAGGGAGCTATGAAATGGGTGCTACTGATTGGTTGAGGATGAAATCATAGGGGTGTAGAAAACTAGCCTGGTGTATTGACTCCACCTCTGGGTGGGAGCACAGGACAAGCTGAGTCATGAGTCATGAGTCTGGGTGAAGTTAGTCTGAAATAATCTAAAAAAAAAAAAAAATCTTAGTTTTCACAATAGTGATGTTATCTATAGGGCCAATTAGGAAAGTCACAAGTCTTGTGACCTCCAGCCACATGACTCCTTAGCAGTAAGGGATTACAGAAACTGACTACATTTCAACAGAGTTCAGGCCCCTCTCATAATCCTAATCTTGTGGCCTTTAGTCTTACAAAGGTGGTTTTCAGTCCCTGAGCAAGGTGGGGGTTAGTTTTAGGGAAGGACTATTATCATCCTTGCTTTCAAGTTAAACTGTAAACTAAATTTCTCTCGTGGTTAGCTTGGTCTTTACCCAGGAATGACCAAGAACAGCTTCGAGGTCAGAAGCAAGATGAAGTCAACTATGCCAGATTTCCCTTACTATTATAATTTTGAAAAAGCAGTTTCACTTTCAGGGAAGTACAGAATTGATGGTGGCCATTTTACAGGTAAGTCTTCAAAGTAATGGCTTACTATCCTCATTCTACAGAAAAAGAGGTTGAAGTTAAAGAGAAACCCGTCCAAAATCAAGCCATAAAGTAGCAGAATTGAGATACAAGCCTAAGTTTGACCCCAAAACTTTATGCATAACCACTGTGATATTCCTTTCCTGGGATATGATGAAGGAATGAGAAAAGTCCTGGGTTGAGATCTGATCCCAGCACCACTCCTATTTTGCTGTGTGATGTTGGGTAAGTCTCATCCCACCTCTGGGCCTTACTCTTCTCTTCCGTATTGTGAGGAGGTTAGACTCAGTGATGCTGCAGGCAGTCTCAGCTCTAAAATTCTGCAGGTCTGACAATCTTTGCTTTGCCCCTTTGGCTATGGATTGAAAGACTGTCTCCTTCATTTATGGAGAAGCCTCACCATGTCAACTTCACGCCCATGTGGGTTATGAGCCTCTCTGATTCCCCTTCAAGGAGGACTTGCTGCTGAGACTTTCAGGGATGCTGCCAGACACTTCAGGGTCTGCCTCAGCTGCAGAGAGCTGCTTAGACCAAGGTTCTGCACTTCTAGGGTGGCCCACATTCAAGGGCCAGTCAAGGCATGAGTGTAAAGACCTGGCCATTTCAACTTAACAGAGGGATAGCTATTTTAACTTTAGAACTCTCCTGGTAGGTAACTGGGGTTGTCATTAGGCCTCACATCTCAGCTTTGGTCTCTAACAAATCCTGCTTCCTCCTTCTCCCCAAGGGCACTCCCTAATAAATATCCTTTAAGGAAACTTCATCTCTGAGCCTGCGTCCCAAAAAAACACAACTAAGATCAACTCAGCTGATCACTAAGATCCACCTCCTAACATAGGTTCCAACAAGCTGGATTTTCTAAGAATAATTGATGGGAAGATGGGAAAATACATATTTTCCAGTGTCCCCAATTTTATGTGTGAAAAAAACTCAGTCTTAGAGATGAGAAAGGGCTTTCTCCTATAATAGAGGAAGAAATGACAGAGCCAGCGTTCAAATTGTGTTCACCTAACGGCAAGACCCGTGCTCATCCCAGTATTCACAGAGAAAATCTGAAATTTTCCAAGGTAGTTTTGATGTAATATAATTGGGTTTCTGCAGGAACTAAGTAAAATGTCATGTTTACACATTTTTAAGCATTTAGATTTAAATGCTTCTTCAAATCAGAGAAAGTTCTTTCATACTCCAGGTGTCTGAAAGTTTTCCACAGAAAATGTAATAAACATAATTCACATGTGGGACCCACTGTTTATATTTTCCAACCAATTCTATATTTATTTGCACTGTTTTTCCCTATTTATGATTTCTTATATATATAAGAAATCAATACATATGTTAATCAACTATTATCTGATATTCCTTACTGGAGGAAAATGGTTTAGGTCAGTGCTTCTCAAACATGACAACACTGTTTAATCTCCTAGGAAGCTTTTCAAAAACACAAATTCCAGAACTCTCTTCTCCCAAGCCAAGTAAATCAGAATCGCTGGGGAAGACACATAGGCATTTTATGTTTTGAAATCTCCCCAGAAAATTCTGAAGTTAGGATTAGAAATAATGGGTTTTGTTGTTGCTGCCTAATACACATTATATTAGCTTCTTTTAAAGCTGCATAATAGCTTATATTAAGACTATAACATTGATCTGTCCACATTCACTCCTTTAAAAATTTTTTTTTGCCTGAAACAAACATTTCCTGAGTACCTACCATGTGCCAAGCCTTTAGCTAAGGCTTGGGGATTCAGTAATGAAAAATACAGCCTTTCATTTTGAGGAGTAGAGTTTATAGTGGGAGTGAGACAGGTTAGAGACATGTAAAAAAGCAATTTGACTTCAGTAAATGATAAGTTTGTGCAACAAATTAAGAAGGCCCAAGAATGGTAGATTTTCTAACTCATAATACTGGCTTAGAGAGAGCATTCATACACAGGTTGTACTTGAAATTACCTAATAGAAAGCGTAGGAATTATCTATGGAGACTGAATGACTGAATGGGTGAGGTGTTTTTTGTTTTTTGTTTTGTTTGTTTGTTTTTGTTTTTGTTTGAGATGGAGTCTCACTCTGTTTCCCAGGCTGGAGTGCAATGGCACGATCTCGACTCACTGCAACCTCCGCCTCCTGGTTTCAAGCAATTCTCCTGCCTCAGCCTCCTGAGTAGCTGGGATTACAGGTGTGCACCATCACACCCAGATAATTTTTATATTTTTAATAGAGATGGGGTTTCACCATGTTGGCCAGGCTGGTCTTGAACTCCTGACCTCTTGATCCGCCCGCCTCAGCTTCTCAAAGTGCTGGGATTACAGGCGTGAGCCACCATGCCTGGCCAAGTGAGGTGTTTTAGGCAAAGGGAACAGATTCAGAGGACAAAACACTGTGGTTTTTGAGGCAAGTAGGGCCAATTCAAGTAATTGAAAGACTGCCAAATTCTGAGATCATATCTTGCAAATCAAAAGCAAAGTATTAGTTTATCATTCATGGCAATTTATATCTACAGTTCCTACAAAATTGTAGAAATAAGATATCTGCTGCTCTATGTGAATTCAAATATTTATTAAAATGTTTACATGGGGGGTAGTAAAAAACAGTTTTACAAAAATCAAATGCTAGGCAGTGGCACCAATTTTGAACGATGTTTCTACCTCAAGGATGATGTTAGGGCTTTACATATATTATTTTACTCAATAATTCTGTAAGGAAAGCCTTCTCATCCCTACTTTTTATGTGAGATAAATGAGGCTCAGAGAAGATAAAGTACTTAAACAAGGTCATCTCTCTTAGGAGTGGTAAAACTAGGATTCAAGATCACAGTAAGAATACAAAAAAGTAAAAAGTAGAAGTGCTTGCATTTTTCTATCCTCAGTCTTATTTTTACAATCATGAGCTTAGAATTCTGAAAAATGCTAAATCAAAATACATGTAAAATAGAAGGTTGCTCAATGGTATCTTGCAATGAAGATATAAATGACTGTGTTATATGTTTATTGTGATAATTGTCATAAACAATGCAAATAAGATACATCAGATTATCTGACTATAGTTGTGCACAATAGGTGGTAGCCATTGTTGTTGTTGTTAGTGCCACTAATAACTTGCAATCATATTTTGTAGGAAATTTTAGGTTAGATAGTGCTTTCAAGAAAGTCACCTTTTGTTATATTACACCACCTCTATAAAATAGACTATCCTTATTTTACAGATAAGGAATCAAAAATATCTTCTGCTTAAGTAACTTTCAAAAGCTATAGAATTAGTGGGCAAAAAGATGAAATTCAAAACAGTATCATGCCTCTTTCTTACAATTATAATTCATCAGTTTTTATGAAGCCAACCCTCCCACCAGGAGCAAGTGGGGAAGCCTTGTAATCCAAACACACATCCATGCACATATGTGCACACAACTGTTTCAAGGCTTCAGGGGATTACTAAGAAATATAGGATTTAAGGAGTTAAAATCTCACAAAAAAGAGAAAGGTGCTGATGTGAACCTCATGTTTCATCTGGCCTTTCCCCTCCAGGCATTCGCTGGTTGCCAAACTGCACAGGACTAGCGTCTAAAAAGCCAAACTAAAGCTGCTCCAAAGAAGTCCAAAATCCAAACAAAATTTTTGACAATTACATGGGATTGGAGAGATAAAACTTAGAATTCAAGGTTCCCAAGGAAACAGGGGTACCAGAAAGGAGGGAAGAACACAGCAGGTGAGCTCAATACACAGCCCCAGGTTTCTGTTAGGGGCATTTGAGAAGATGAAACACTAAGCACAGCTTTGGAGAGCCTCACAGTGTTACGTATGCAAAGAAATATGGGTCCCAATAAGGAGAGTTCTTGTATAAGCTCAAAGTTTGGGCTTTTGGAAGAGTTCACACTGGGAGTAGGTGCAAACCAGAAAGAGAACATGATTAAGATATAGAAACTCAATCTTTCTACAGCTGGATATCAGAGAGCGGTGTTGGAATCTGCTCCTTCTCTAGCTGCCTAGCAAAAATTAAATCGAATGAAGTCATCTGTGAAGGTAGAGAACATCATTCAGCACCTCTATAACTTGTCCATATACAAAAGTTAGGACTCAATTATAAATTACCATTCTGAAACTGAAATAGTGCCAAGAGGAAAGAAAAAAGGAAAGAGAAAGTAGCAATATACTCACAGATGATTCAGATATTGAAGTTCCCAGAAATGGATTCTAAAATTGCTATGACTTATATGTTCAAGAAAGTAGTTGACAAGATATAACATTTTACCGCAAAGGGAAAAGCAATAAAAAAGAAGCAAATAGCAATTATAGAACCCATAGCTTCTGCTTCAGACCAGATTGGAGTAAAAGGAATCAGATTTGACCTCCCACTGGAAACAAATTTTAAAATGAGTAAATATATGAGAAAATATATTTTCAAGACATTGGAGATCAATAAATGAAGAACAGTAATCCCTAAGAGTTATGAATGAAAATAATGGAAGCTCTACAATTGTCCATATTATCTCTTTGAGAGAGATTCTAGGCTGTGGCTCAGGAAAGGGAAACTCAGGAGTCCAGGAGACTAGGGTTGAAAGCCTAGGGAGACCAAGTAGATTGAGTTTTTAGGGCAATGGACCAGGAAAGGTAGAACTGCACACAGAAAGAATTATAAATAGGACTCTGGGTATGTGAAGATGACACCTACCTTGAGTATTCAATAACATACTAATCAATGAATGCATGTGAGAAAACCATCCAAAGTATCTGGGAAGGAATAACATGAAAGAATTAGAAAGTTGCTTAGAGTTTACGCAAGGGCAGGGAATAGTGCCTGTTTCCACTCAACAGACTGGAAAATCTACTGAGTCACAGGGCACTGGGTCCAAAGCAAGTTCACTTTGCACTGGTATTAATCCCAGGGAAAGACCCAAAACCCCCCACCCACTGCACGCTGAGCTATGACAGTTTCTATCACTTGCACAAGTCTGGTGACCCAGAACACTTGCATACAACCCTTCATGAAGTAGGTTTATTACTTACAGATAGGCAGCAAGGGACAACAGAAGCCTAGAATTCATGACAAACTAGTCCCCCAAGCTTCAGGAAAGCTACCCAGGGCAGATGGAACCTATGCGTATGTGCCCCACTTGCACTTCAGCTGAGGAGCCCTGGAAAGCAGCCCACAGTGGATTCTATACTCCGGGGATTATATGGTTACCGGGCTAAAGCGCTGTAGGACATTCTGTTCTAGGAAGGACTTGGAGCAGCCCCTGGCCTGTTCTAGCCAATTCCACTATATGTCAGAATGTTGCATTCCCAGCACATTCTAGTTATTCTTGAGAACTATAGGCAAGAAAAGGGGAGAAGACAGCGTTGGCCCAAGACACCTGGAGAACTGTCCTGCGTTGGATAGAATACTCAGAAGAAATTTGTCGAAGTTGTAGGAAGAATTCACCCTAGACTAAAGGCTGCAAACAACCTATGTGTCTATCAAGACATGAATGGATCAACACACTGTAGCATATCCCTATAATAAAATAATGCTTAGCAGTGAAAAGCAATGAACTATTGATTATGCAATTACAAAATAATCATGCTGAGTGAAAGAAGCCAGTCAAAAAAGAGTACAGACTAATTATATGTATAATTATTATGCATCATTTAAAAATAAAAAATAAAATAGAACTCAAATTAGCTACCATTCTCATATGCAAATATTATTGCAACTCTTTGTAAGCTTTTTGCATATACCAAAAGATAATTTACAAGTTAAATACCAGATTATTTTTTATTTGTTAAAAAACTCTTCAAAAAACTGATTGTATAGAAACTAATAACATATAAGGTTAGAGAATTACAAATATCAATATAGTTTTTCTTATTAGGATAAAAAAGTCCCTTTAAATCAAAAAGCATATAATTGCAATAGTAATTGCATGTTAATTAATGTAATACAAACTGACTATTAAAACATGGATTCATTTTTTACTATTATATGGAATAAGAGCATATCAAAGCCTTAGGTAATTAAAATTTACATTGATGAGATGTCCATGCTAAGCTTAGTGCAGCAATATCAGGCTTATAATTGAAAAAACAATTATATGCATGATTATATATGTATAGATTTATGATTATTGTTTACATATTATAATCCACAATAATCATAAATCTGGTGTGGGGGGAAAACTTAGGCTTTACATGTAATGTAGAAAGATGAGATGTATCAGGAATGAGTGGACTTTTATATAAACCTTAAAAGTCATAAAAGTGCTTTTTGAGGCCTTTTGAAAATCAGTTGCTCCAGGGGAGGGCATGATGGTCAGAACTTTGGTAATTAAAGGGTAGAAAACATGCAGAATTGGATACACATTTTATAACTCTATTTTTATCTTCACGATTTTTGCTAGCAATCATGTTTCAAGGTAGCCAAAGGGCTTTTGAATCACAATTTATATCCAAGTCAACAGGTTTATATTACCTCCAATTGTAATTAGAAAATGATAAGCATGAAATATTTTCTAGTTCTCTTAAAATTAGTAATACTACATGTTTTTCTGTGTGTCCTTACTCCAAAAATAAAATTTACCAAAAAAGGAAGAAAAGTCTTCCCACCCCATCATCATGAACATGTTAACAGAAAAATTAAACGAGGCAACATATCCTGAAGACATTTATGAACTTAAAGTGCTATATGATTATGTAAATGTAATTAATAACCTATATCTTTTTCCATAGCTAGTAATATAACGTTTTAGAGCAGGAGAAACTTAAGAAATTGCCTTGTCAAATGCTGACATTGTACAAGCCAGGCGATCAGTGCTTTGCTTGGTGAGTTTACCTATCCAAGACTCCACAGCCTCTTTGTGGCAGAGAAAAGTCCAACCTCTTAGCCCCTAGTTTTAACTCATGTGTTGTCTCTCCACCAACTCCAACTTCTCGTGCTGATTTATAAGTGAAGTTCATCGTAGATTCTCTGTAGATATTTATAACCACGCAGAGCTCAGGTCCTCGCTCCTGAGCAGGTGCTGCTCGGCTGCTTGCCATGACTCCTCTCCTTGCACTCTGAAAACAAGGTCATTTTGTTCACAGGCTGAGTGCAGAGAACCTTGTACAGATCAGGGGTTTTAAATATGACAAACAGGAGTGTCTAATGCTGAACATTTCAGAATTCATTAAATGTTGCTGTTTTAGTAATCAAAACCATTAATTGCAATAAATAAATTTACCCATTCCCCATGTAATCCAGGGTGATATGGAGTAATTAGTACTTCATTTCATTGCTTGGAATTGATATCAATTAATTTACTTGCCAGGTAATTTGTTCAACCTGTTTAAGAATTTTTCCTTGTAATTCTGTTATTACCTTTGTCTAATAATGTTTAAAACATAATGTAATTAAATGATAACTAAAACTACTGTAAATCATATTTAGTGAGTACAGTGATTGACCATCTTTTTTTTTCTGTCAGTGCAGTAATTTTTTTCTTTTTTCGAGACAGAGTCTCGCTCTGTCGCCCAGGCTGGAGTGTAGTGTCGTGATCTTGGCTCACTGCAACATCCACCTCCTGGGTTCCAGTGATTCCCTGCCTCAGCCTCCCTAGTAGCTGGGATTACAGGCTGTGCCACCATGCCTGGTTAATGTTTTTTAAATGTTTTTAGTAGAGAAGGGTTTCACCATGTTGGCCAGGAGGTCTCAGCCTCCCAAAGTGCTGGGATTACAGGCGAGAGCCAATGCGCCCGGCCCAGTGCAATAATTAAATACACAATCTATGTCATATGTCAGGTGGACTAGCCTGCCCTTTTTTTGAGGTCATCTTTGGTTTTCAGAATTAAAAAAAAAAAATCCCTTGAGCATTGACAGCAAGAGTGACAATATTCTTCTCCCCACTTACCAGCACATAAACCCACCCAGTCCTTCCTGGTTCTATTCCCATTACCTCCTCTTCATTCTGTTTTAGCCACCTCCACCTTACCCTTCTCTTCCCTCCCTCACTTATCTTACTTGCTCCTCAGATGGGTAGGTCCTCTCTCTATCCTTCCTCAGCCCTGTTCTTCTTCTGTCATAGTACTCCTCATCCTACATAAGAATCATTTATCTTCTGAACATCAACAAGTAGCCACTGTACTCAGGTTCCAAAATCTCTGCTGGAGATGTAGTGGTTAGAATGACCAACACAGCCCTTCTCCTCACAGGACTTCCGGTAGAAACAAGCAGGGGACTTGAATCATCAATCATATTTTAATCATCAGAAGCATGCGAAATACTATAAACTAGAAATACAGGGCAGTACCAAACTAAATGACTGCTGTACTGTCTTCAGTATCCCGATCATATCTACAATATAAGCAAGTACACAAAAAAATACAAAATGTTTTGTTTTCTTCAAGCATTGTATATACACAAGATACAAAAATATTCTTGGGAAAACCGAACACACAAATGACTATTATCCTAGAGTCCCCTCCGCTAGGCTCATGTGGAAAACTGAAACAGAATTTTACTTCTCTACTTACCCTGAAACCCCACAACTTTCTCAGACTGTCACTAAAGTTGATGAATTTTGGTTCTCATTTAAGGGCTACTTAAATGTTTCTTTCATAGAGCATGAGGTTCTTGTCTTTCTCAAGGCTGTGCCTCACTTCCTTCTTGCACTCTGTCTTGAAGATGAGCAGGAAAGCTCCTCAGAGCCATCTAAGGTAGCCATCATTTCTCCTTTGCCAAGGAAACCTTTCTCCAATCTGTTCTTGCCTGGATACCAGGACCAACTCCCTACTAAGTAACTGTGTCCCCTTGGAGTGTTGTGCAGTACAGATCAGTGTCTGCCAAACATGTATCCAAATGATTTCGAGATCATTTAAAAGTGCAGTTGGATTCAGTAGGTCTAGGGTGGAGTCTGAGATTATGCATTTCTAACAAAATCCTGGGTGATGTCAATGTTGCAGGTCTGCGGACCACATTTTGAGTAGCAAGGATGATGGAAACAAAGAGATTAATCTGCATGAAAAAAATTTTGGAAATTTATTGGTGTCATAATATCTACCAAATCAGGGCCAAATCTAGAGATATCTACAACTGTGACTCAACATAAAGGCATATATTTTTGAGCAGGACCTTCAGAGGTTCTAAAAGCTTATTCTATTACAAAGTTTCACAATATGCTCCTACTTTGGATCTTGTTTCTAACTCCATAGCAGCGCATGTCACTAAAGAACTAATGGGGGCATTATCAAAAGAGAAGTCTGACCTCTGTCCCAGGTTAACCCCCAAGGTCTTATCACAGCTTTTTCATGTGAGCTCCCAGTACCCTATGGCTGCGGCATCCCCTATAAGAATATGTTCTGTGTTACGACCAGGTTTCCTTCTGCATCCTGTACCAGGATTATCATGGGATTACTCCCTAGATTCATCATCAGTGAATGTGATAAATACCAAATGGCCAGAAAGATTGCAAACTACCTGTGTGAAAAGAGGTCAAAGGTTTCAAGGGAAGGGGAGTTCAGTTATCATCAGGCAGCTTTTTAAAAGCTCATTAAAGCACAATCATACAGGGTTATAACAGTCTAATTCTAAAGAACAGAGGAGAAACTATTGACCAATAAACTTTGACTTAAAATCATATCAATTAAATGGGGGAATCCCTAGTGACAGCCCAATTCTAATTGAAGTTTGCTCAACAAAATCCTTATCTGGCCCTTATTCCCTTTATTACCTCTTATCATTTTTCGTTCTTTTCATTTTGAATTCTATGAAGACAAAGAGATGTTGAGCACCAGCTCACCACAGGACCTTCCCTTTGTGACAGACCCAGTGGGCCCTGCCACATTTCTCTTAGTTATTCTGTTTGTTATGTTACCTGCTTGCTGCTGGGACGCATACACTATCCCCATCATGCCCTCCCAAAAATGCCCATTACAAATTTATGAAATAGGGGCAAGGACACAAGGGCTGCATAAATGAGCCACAGTCACTAGTTTGTGAAAAAAAAATTAGTGTTGATGCCAACTAATCTTTCTCTTTACCTATGAGACAGGAAAATGGCCTTTTGTCCCCTTTTTTTCTCAGCTCAGGTACTTGGCTATTGCTTTGCAGTCTCTACTCGTTAAATAGAGATACCTACTAGAATTTTTCATCCTCCTTCAAAGTGTTATGAGAAACAGAGATAATGGCCTAGAAAGTCATTTGAAATGTTGAAAATCTTGATTCAATGTGAGACAGCTGTTTAAATCATAGTTTATGAATAAGAAAACAACAATGTAGCAGGTTTCCAGCATACTAAAAATAGTAAAGTTTAGTTTCCCTAGGAAAAGTTTCTACACAGTTTTTCCTTCAAGGGATATGTATAATTTTGATGCGCTTTGGAATATCCTAGTCCCAAGCTTTTTAAAATCAGCTTTACTTAAGAGCACTTAGCTTTACGAGAACCTAGCATAGCACAGACATGGTTTCTTTATTTTTCAGAGGATGGTCGGCAGAGAGTATCCGAATTATTGCTCCATGCTGCGAGATCCCTGTTCCTAGGAAAGCCGAGGTCTGCCTTCCAATGTGCAATTCTAGCTTAATAGGGAAGTTATATCACTGTTGACAGTCTTGTCCTTTCTTAATAAATCTTAGGAGTTATCCCATAAGGAATATTCATTTTCCTTCAGACATGAAGTGACCATTAAGATGCGCCAGTAAAGAATCCATGGCTTTCAGTGTCTGGCCCTATTTCTTCTAGTTCAAGAATTTTAAGAAAAAATATTGCAATAAAAGGTATATTTTTATTAGCTACAAAGTGGATACATTTCTTGTTTCTCAAAAAAAAAAAATGTGTTATTCTGAAAATGTTCAAATAGCCAGGATTTATATTTTGCTAAAGTTAGATTTTAAATAAAAGATTCCTGCTTAATTATAAAGAGAGAATATTTACTGATAGAAAATGTCTCTATAAATGGAAACATGTTTTCATGCTGTCCCCTGACACCCGTCGGGGGTGGCAAGAGAGTGGAGAGTGGAGATTGCTCAACACCAAAGGTGAAGCTGGGTCATCAAAGGGCAGGAAGAATTATGATGGCTGAAAATAACAACAGAGGGGACCCACAGCAAAGTCCAACCTTAGCCTCCACCAATAAATAAATGTACCACCAATAGATAAATTAAAAAAGTGACCTTCTCTGTGTCTGAGGGTTATTGACTATCCATTTTATTTTTTTTCTGCCACTTATTAATACCTGTTTGCATAGAGAGATACTTGCATTTTATGCAATCAGGAATAGAAAGCAGTTCCCTTTGAAAATATTACAAGAGAAGGTTGATAAGCATATATGTGTATGGAGAGGCATGAAATCAACATTTATTGATACCTACCATGTGCTGGAATCTGAGCTAAGATGCTTTTATATGTGTTTTCCTAACTAAATAATTATATCCCTACCATTTAAAGATCTATGATACTAAGAAGTTAATTAACTTGCTCCAGATGAGATAGCTGCCAAATATGAAAAACAGTCCCAATGTCCTGTTGTGATGTTCAAGTCACATCACACTATATTTTCTCACTTATACAATAGACCAGCACTTTCCAATCACAAGTTTCGCAATGATGGGAATGTTCTATATCGATGCTGCTCAAAATGGCACTAGCCTCATGTGACTATTGGACCTTTGAAATTTGGCTACTGTGAGTGAGAAACTGAATTTTACATTTAATTTTATTTTAATTAATTAAAATAAAATTTCTGTCACCCAGGCTGGAGTGCAGTGCCATGATTATGGCTCACTGCAACTTTAAACTCTTGGGTTCAAGAGATCCTTCTGCTTCAGCCTCCCAAGTGGCTGGGACTATAGGTTTGCACCACCAGACTCCACTATTTTTTTTTAATTTTGTAGAAATGAGGTCTGGCTATGTTTGGCCAGGCAGGTCTTGAACTCCTGGCCTCAAGTGATCCTACTGCTCAGCCTCCAAAAGTGCTAGGATTACAGGCATGAGCTACTGTACCCACCCTAAATTATATTTAAGCAAACACACGTGGCTACTATATGAGATAACAAATGTCTAGCCAGAAACTTTGTTTTAATGAGAATTGTAAAGGTTCTTTCAACTCTTATTTTTCTCCCCAGTCTGGCATCACTGTTTCTCCCCAACTCTTGTTTATCTCTCAAAATGCAATCCTTAGATATCAGCAATAAAGACATCTGCAAAGTATATCTTCCATGAAAGCAATAAGAATAGCTCAACAAATTGCATGTAGGATCACTCAAAGAGATCTATTTCTAGATATTACAATTAAATTGTTGAAAGCCAAAGACCATCTTGAAGGCAGAAAGGGAGAAGTTATGGATCGTATGCAAGGGATGCTCAATAAGATTAACATATGTCTCATCAGAAACCGTGGAGGCCAGCAGGCAGTAGCATGGCATGTTCAAAGTGCTGAAATACAGACTGCCAATCAATAATTTTATAGCCTGCAAAACTATCCTTTAAAAATGAAAAAAAAAATTAAGATACTCCCGGGTAAACAACAACTGAGACAATCTGTTGCCAATAGACTTACTCAAAAGAAATTTTAAAAGGAACCTGAAAGAAGGCTGAAATGAAAGAACGCTAGACTGTAACGCAAATCCACCTGAAAATTCAAGGAGCACCAGTAAAGTTAAATACAGAGGTAAATATAAAGCACAGTATACATGTATATTTTTTCTACTATCTTATTTTTAAAACAACTTTCTAAAACAATAATTATGAATCATTATTGATGGATGCCCAGTATAGAAAGATGTAATATGTATAACAATACAACAAAGGAGAAAAGATTAAATGGAGGTAAGTAAGAGCAAAGCTAGTACTTACTATGGAAATTAGATTGGCCTTAATCTGATCCAGATAGTCATAAGCTATGACATTAATTGTAACTCTCAGGGTAACCACTATGAAAATAACTCAAAAATACATAGTTAAAGAAATGACAAGAGAAGTAAATTGCTACCGTAGAAAAATTTATTTAACATATAACAGACAGCAACAGAGGAAGGCGGGGAAATATGTAGAAAATATGTAGAAATATGTAGAAAACAAATAGAAACATCATGGAAATAAATGTTACATTACCAGCAGTTATATTACAGGTACATTTATTAAACATTCCTAAAATGGCAGAGAATAGATAAAGAATTAAAAAGAAAACATGATCCAACTATATGCCATCTGCAAGAGACACACATTAGAATCAAAGACACAAATGAATTGAAAGTAAAAGGATGTAAAAAGAGATATTATGCAAATAGTGACCAAAAGAGAGCCAGATTAGCTATATTAATACCAGCCAAAATAAACTATCATCTACTTTGTGGTAGATAGAATCATGAAAGAGAGAAATATTCAATTCAACAGTAATGGTTGGAAATTTTAATATACCATCTTCAATGATGAGTGAGTCAACTAGACAGAAAATAAGAGAAAATCAAATACTTGAACAACAATATAAACCAACAAAGCCTCACATATCTATAGAACATTCCATTCAACAGCAGCAGAATGAATATTCTTCTCCAGTGCATTCTTCATATAGACCATATGCTCGGCCATAAAATATATTTCAGCAAATTTAAAAGGCTTCAAATTACAGAAAGTATATTCTCTGAACGTACGGAATAAAACTAAAAGTAAATAACAGAAGCAAATTTTGGAAATTCATCAACATGGCAATTTCACCACACATTCCCTAATAACTAATGCACAAAGAAGAAATCACAAGGACATTTAGAAAAATGCTTTGACAGAAAGAAAAAGGAAAGCACAATACATAAAAATTTTTGAGATGCAATTTAAGGAATACATAAAGAAAAATATATGACTATAAACACCTATATTAAAATGAGAATAATATCAGTAATCTAACCTTCTACCTTAAGAAACTAGAAAAAGAAATGCAAATTAAGTACAAATCAGGCAAAATAAAGTAAATAATAAGGATTAAGGCAGAAAAAAATTAGATGATATAATTGCCACAAAGAAAATCTACAAAACCAAAAGGCAGATCTTTAAAAATGTCAATAAAATTGACAAAACTCTAGCTAGACTGACCGAGTTAAAAATGGAGAAGACTCAGATTATTAGGATGAAAAAAGAAGAGGAATATTATTATTCACCTTGCACAAATAAAGAGGATTATAATAGAATACTATGAGCAATTACATGCAACAAATTGGATAACCTAAATAAAACAGAAAATGTCTAAAAATACATAAACTACCAAAATCGACCAAAAAAGAAATAAAAACACAAATAGATCAATAATGAGTATACTGTTAATCAAACACTTTTCAAAAAGAAAAGACAGGAACCAAAGCTTCAACTGGTAAATTCTGCCAAGCATTTGAGAAGAATTAATACCCGTTCTACATCAACTCTGTCAAAACATAGAAGAGCGAACAACTTTCACAATTCATTTTATGAGGACAATAATCACCAAGACTAAAACCAGACAAATAACAAACAAGAAAATCACAGATTACTTTGCCTATGAATATAGTTTTTAAAACTCTTTAAAAAGTACAACCCTAAATCCATCAAAATACAAAAAAGAATTATACATTATGACCAAGGGGGATTTATTTGAGGAATGCAAGGTTGGTTTAACATGCATTCAACAAACCATATTAATTGAACAAGAGATAAAAACTATATGATCATTTCCATAGATCCAGAACAAGCATTTAATAAAACATAACACTTTTTCATGATTTCTTTTTCAAAAATCAACAAACTGGGAATAGAAGAAAAATGTCTTAATCTGTTAAAGGGCATCTACGAAAAATGTACAGGTGGCATCATATTTAATGGTGAAAGACTAAATGTTTTACCTCTAACATAAGGAAATAAAGGGATAGCCCCTCATCCCACTTCCATTCAGCATTGCACTGGAGGTTCTATCCATGGCAATTAGGCAAGAAAAAGAAATAGAAGTCATCCAAAATGTAAATAAAGAATTAAACTGTGTCTATTTGCAGAAGACATGGTCTTGTTGTATCAGTTTTCCAACTGCCATGACGAAGTACCACAAACTGGTTGCCTCCAAATATATAATTTTATTGTCTTGCAGTGCTAGAGACTAGAAATCCAAAATCATGGTGTCAGCAAGATGTGTTCTTTCTGAAGGTTTTGAGAAAAGAATCTGTTCCAGGTATCTATCCTTGGCTTTTAGATAATCATCTCCTCCTATGTATCTTTATATTGTGTTTCTTCCATGGTGACTCTGTGTCTAACTTTCTCAATTTTTATTAAGACACCAGTCATACTGAATTAGTGCCCAACCTAATAACCTGATTTTAACTTGATATCTCCAGTAAAAACCCTGTCTCCAAATAAAGTCATATTCTGAGGTAGTGGGAATTAGAATTTCAATTTATTATATGATTGGGCAGGGTACTGAAGCACAAATCAACTCATAACATTTAAATATAGAAAATACTAAAAAATCCACTTAAATAGATTAAATGAGTTTCAGAGGAGTTATAAGACAAATGATTAATATACAAAACTTAACTGTAAAAATAGTCTCAAAATACTGTAGCAATGAAAAGGGAAATGAGAATCCACTGGAATAATGAAGGACACCCCAGATCTGAGGGAGGAGAAGGTGAGCAAACAGCCCCCGCAATGATGTCTGGCTGATAAAAGTGAGTGAAACCCCAGTACACAAGAGGGGAAAATAGTCTCCCTCTGTGACTCACCTTTCCACTGGGGATCTGTGCAACCAAGGCCAAGGGAGAGCACTTTGTTTCTCCCAAGCCCTGGAGCTAACTTGGGAGGGTCTTAGAGATGCTGAGAACGAAAGACCCCAGAAAAAGCTGCAGGTATTTTCCTAGACCTGGGACCAAAAGCAGGACATCATTTTTAATCTAGGTGCATACAAAGTCAGTCATTGTTAGGTGACCTGGCAGCATGGCCATGCTGGCTTTTTAGTCTCAGGCCAAAGAGCAGAGCACTTGCACTGAGGAGATGTAGATGCCTCCACAAGCAGAACTGTGAAAAGCACACCAGCAATAGGCACTGAAATTGTGCTCTACCCCTTCACAGGTCTGGGACAGGAGGGGAATTGCTGCAGCTACATTGTCTCCTGGGCAATGAGACTGCAGCCAGGAACAGCTCGGTGACTTGGAACCAGTCTGCATATGTCACTGCTAGGTGATCCAGCCAGCTCCCCAGAGATTAAGGTGCATAATCTCCCTGCTCCATGCCGAGGCAGATCTCCAGGCATTCAGAGCACCCATTCGCAAGGATCAGCAGCCTGAGTTGTCCCACCCTCCCTTTGCTGAGATGCTCATGCATGGGTGGGGGGCCCTCTCTGCTCCAGGCCCTGACAGACTTCTGGGCATTTGGAGCACTGACTCCCCTAGATCAGCAGCCTGGGCAGCCACACTTATCCTATGCAGAGATAATGGTGCAGCAGGGTCACCTCCACTCCACACCTGGGCAGATCCTCAGGCATTCAGAACACTCATTCACCTACATCAGCAGTCTGAGCCACCCCATGCTTCCTGTGCATAGATCATGGCGCAGGGAGGCCCTCTTCACTGTACGTCCAGGTCTATTTGCAGGCAGTTTGAGCACCCATTCAACTAAATGGGTGGCAGCCTGAATCACCCTAAGTTTCTTGTACAGAGATCTGGGTGCAGGGGGTGCTGAGGGAGATCTCTGGGCATTGAGAACACCTGCTCATCTGGATCAGCAGCCTGAACCACCTTATCCTTCCTGTGCAGAGGCTGTGATGGAGCAGGGCCTACTCTGCTGCATGCCCAGACCAGACCTTCAGGGATACAGAACACCAGCTTGCCTGGGTAACAGCCTGAGTCACCCTCACCGTTTTTGTGCAGAGATTTTGTTGCACCTGGGCCCTCTGCATTCCATATCCAGACAGATCTCCAAGCATCTGGAACACTCACTTCTCCTGTATTAGGTATTTAGGCCAACCCTTCTCCCTGTGCAGAGAACTTGGGACCAAAGAAGTTTCTTAACTTCGTGCGTAGGCACTCCTCTGGGTACTTGGTAACTGCCCACTGGATTATAACTTTGTGCTGGTGTTTGTGCCTGCCTAGTCTGACACCACCCATCTTGGTCTTTCTCTCACCCCCCGACGATGCACTTCACAGATCTACCCATTGCCTGAGGCAACACAGAGCTTCTCCCAGTAAATAAAGAGCTACATTGGCTGCAGCCAGCTCTTACCCATAAGCACCATCTAATAGCTTGTAGGTCAAGCCCCAAACCTAGAATAAAAATGGGCTATAGAAGCAAAGCCAAAGACTCTATCTTACATTCTTTACAGTCACAGCCCCTAGAGAGGGGGAGAAAGATAAAGAATAAAATAATATTATATGGAAAAAAAGAAAAAAATCCTATCCACATGAAAATAATTACAAAAATTAGAAGTGGCTGCATTTTCAGATGAGAAAGCACCAGTGCAAATGTTACAGCACCATGAAAAATCTGAATGTTGTGACACACTAGCTCTCTAGTAATGCTCCTTAAACAAAATGGAAACTCAGAAATGAAAGATAAAGAATTCAAAGCATGGATCAGAGAAGTTCAGTGAGATCAAGACAAGTTGAAAATCAACACAAAGAAACTTCTAAAGGAATCCAGTAAATGAAGAAAGAGATAAACAGCTTAAAAATAAATCAGTCAGAGCTTTTGGAATAGACAAACTCACTTAAGAAATTATGAAATGCAATTAAAATATTTATCAATAGACTGGACCAAGCAATTCTGAAAGAATTTCAGAACTTGAAGACCAATCTTTTGAACTAACCCAGTCAGACAAAAATAAAGAAAAAAGAATTTTTAAAACTGAACAAAGCGTTTAGAAATATAGGAGTATGTAAAGCAAGAAAATCTACAAATTATTGGCATTCCTGAAAGGGAAAAAGAAAAAGAAAACAACCCGAAAAACACATTTGAAAAAATAATTCAAGAAAATTTTACTAATCTTGCTAGAGAAGTAACTATCCAGATGTTAGAAATCCAGAGAACACCTGCCGGATACTATACCAAATGAACAACACCAAGACCTATAGGCACCAGCTTGTGCAAAGTCAATGCTAAGCAAAAACCTTAAAGGCAGCCACAGAAAAATGTTAGATCATGTACAAAGGAACCCCATCTGGCTAACAGCAGACTTCTTAGCAGAAACCTTACAAGCCAGGAGAGATTGGGAGTCTATCTTTAGCATTCTTAATGAAAGAAAATTCTAACCAAGAATTTCATACCCCACTAAACTAAGCTTCATGTGAAGGAGAAATGAAGTCTTCTCTAGACAAGCAATTACTAAGGGAATTTATTACCAGTAGACTAATTTCACAAGAGATCCTTAAGGGAGTTTGAAACATGAAAACAAAAGAATAATATCTGCTACTACAAAAACACATTTAAGTATATAGCCCAGAGACCCTATGAAACAACTATACACCTAACAGCTAACAACTTCACAATTTGCCACTCTGTTCCTTTTAAGTGGGGCCTTTAGACCATTTACATTCAAGATTAATATTCATATCACATATTAAAAAAACAAGACCCAACCTCCTGCTGTCTTCAAGAGATTTATCTCACATGTAATGATAGCCATAGGCTCAAGTAAAGCGTTGGAGAAAGACCTATCATGCAAATGGAAAACAAAAAAAAAGAGGGGTAACTATTCTTAAATTAGTTAAAATAGACTTTACACCAACAATGGCATAAAAGGACAAATAAAGGAACTACATACTGATGAAGGATGCAATTCAATGAGAAGACTTAACTATTCTAAATATATACATACCAAACACTGGAGCATTTAGAGTCATAAAACAAGTGCTTCTAGACCTATAAAAAGACAGCCACACAATAATGGTGGAGGAACCCAATACCTCACTGACAGCACTAGACAGATCACCAAGGCAGAAAACTAACAAAGAAATTCTGGACTTAAATTCAATACTTGATCAACTTGATTAATTGAACCAAAGAGATATCTATAGAACATTCCACCCATCAACCACAGCTTATACATTCTTCCTATCTGCTTCTGGAAAATACTCTGAGATCAATCACATTCTCAGCCATGAAGAAAATCTCAATAAAATAAAAAAAAATAAAAATCATATCAATCATACTCCTGGAACACAATGGAACCAAAATAGAAGTCAATTCCAATAAGATCTCTCAAACCACACAATTAAGTTGAAATTAAGAAAGTTGCCCCGGATGACTTTTGAGTAAACAAAGAAATTAAGACAAAAATAAGAAAAATTATTTGAAGTAAATTAAAAAAGAGGTAGAACACTTCAAAATCTCTGAGATGCAGCAAAAGTGTGTTAAGAGGAGAGTTAGTAGCACTCAATATCGATTTCAATAAAATAGAAACATACCAAATTAATGATCTAACATTAATGATCACATCTAGATGAACTAGAAAAATAAAGACAAGCTAACCCCAAAGCTATCAGAAGAAAAGGCATGTTAAAATCAGAGCAAAACTAAATGAAGTTGAGATCCAAAAATCCATAAAAAGTATAAGACCAAAAGGTGGTTTTTTGAAAGGATACCCAAAATTGATAGACTGCTACCTACATTAACAAAGAAAAAAAAGGGAGAAGATCCAAAAAAGAACTGTCATAAACAACAAGTGTGACATTAAAACTAATCCCACAGAAATACAAAAGATCCTTAGAAACTTTTATGAACACCTCTATGCACACAAACTTGAAAATCTAGAGGAAATGGATAAATTCATGGGACCACAAAATCTAGTAAGATTGAATCAGGAAGAAATTGATACCCTGAACAGACCAATATTTGGTTTAAAAATTGAATCAATAATGACAAACTGACCAACCAAAAGAAGTCTTGAACTAGATGAATTTACAGCTGAATTCTACTAGATGTACAAAAAATAACTGGTACCAATTCTGCTAAAACTATTCTAAAACCTTGAGACAGAAGGACTCCTCCCTAACTCATTCTATGAAGCCAATATCATCCTGATACCAAAACCTGGCAAAAACGTAATGAATAAATAAAACTTCAGGCCAATATCTCTAATAAACATAGATACAAAAATCCTCAATAAAATATTAGCAAACTGAATCTAGCAGTACATCAAAAAGCTTATCCACCACAATGAAGTAGGCTTTATTCCTAAGATGCAAGGTTGGTTCAACACACACAAATCAATAAATGCAACTGACCACATAAGGACACTTAAAAACAAAAACCATATGATCATCTCAATAGGTGCAGAAAAAGCTTTTGATAAAATCCAACTTTCCTTCATGATAAAACCAGACATTGAAGGAACATACCTCAAAATAATAAAAGTCACCTATGATAAATCCACAACCAACATCATAGTGAATGGGCAAAAACTGGAACCATTCACCTTAAGAAGAGGAACAAGTCAAGGATGTCCACTCTCACAACTCTTATTCAACATAGTACCAAAAGTCCTAGCCAGAGCAATAAGGCAAGAAGAAATAAAAGACATCCAAATAGAAAAAGAAGAAGTCAAATTATCTCTCTTTGCTGCTGATGATTCTATACTTTAAACATGCTAAAGACTCTGCCAAAAGGCTCCTGGAACTGATAAACAGCTTCAGTAAAATATTAGGATACAAAATCAATTCACAAACATCAGTACCATTTTTATACACCAATAACATTTCAGCTGAGAGCCAAATCAAGAACACAATGCCATTTACAATAGCACCCATCCCTCCCAAAAATACTTAGAAATACATCTAACCAAAGAGCTGAAAGATCTCCACAAGGAGCACTACAAAACAATGCTAAAAAAATTATAGATAACACAAACAAATGGAAAAACATTCCATGCTCATGAATTGGAAGAGTCAATATTGTGAAAATGGACACACTGCCCAAAGCAATCTATAAATTCAATGCTATTCTTATCAAACTACAAACATCATGTTTCCCAGAATAGAAAAAACTAGTCTAAAATTCAGATGGAACCAAAAAATAGCCCAAATAGCCAAAGCAATGCTAAGCAAAAAGAATAAAGCTGAAGCCATCTTATTACCTGACTTCAAACTATACTATGAGGATATAGTAACCAAACCAGCATGGTACTGATACAAAAGCATACACATAGACCAATGGAACAGGTTAGAGAACCGAGAAAGAAAGCCACACACCTACAACCATCTGGTCTTTGATAAACTTGACAACAATTAGCAATGGAGAAATTACTTCCTATTAAGTAAATGGTGCTGGGATGACTGACTAGCCATAAACAGAAGACTGAAACTGGACCCTTTCTTTCACCATATAAAAAAGTAAATAAAATGAATTAAATATTTAAATATAAGACCTCAAACTATAAAAATCCTAGACATAAACCTAGGACGTACCATTCTGGACACAGGCCTTATCAAAATATTTATGGGTAAGTGCTCAAAAGCAATTGCAACAAAAACACAAATTGACAAGTGGGATCTAGAACTTCTGCAAAACAAAGAAACCGTCAACAGAGTAAACATACAACAGAATTGGAGAAAATATTTGCAAACAATGCACCTGACAAAGGCCTAATATACAGAATCCATAAAGAACCTAATGCAACAAGCAAAAACAAATAACTTCATTAAAAAGTAGGCAAAGAACATGAACCGACACTTATCAGAAGGCCTACAAGCAGCCAACAAACATGAAAAAAGTTCATCATCACTAATGAAATGTGAATCAAAACCACAATTAGATGCCCCCTTGCACCAACCAGGTGGAATTGTTATTTTAAAAAGTCAATAAATAGGCCAGGCGTGGGGGCTCATGCCTATAATCCCAGCACTTTGGGAGGCTGAGGCGGGCAGATCACTTGAGGTCAGGAGTTTGAGACCAGCCTGGCCAACTTGGTGAAACCCCATCTCTACTAAAAATACAAAAATTAATTGGGTGTGGTGGCAGGTGCCTGTAATCCCAACTACTTGGGAGATTGAGGTGGGAGAGTCACTTGAACCTGGAAGGCAGAGGTTGCAGTGAGCTGAAATTACATCATTGCACTCCAACATAGGTGACAAGAGCGAGACTTTGTCTCAAAAAAAAAAAAAATCAATAAATAACAGATGCTGGCAAGGCTGCGGAGAAAATGCAACATTTTACACTGTTAGTGGGAATAAAAATTATTGCAGCAACTGCAGAAAGCAGTGTAGACATTTCTCAAAGAACTTAGAACTACCTTTCCACCCAGCAATCCCATTATTGGGTACATACCTGAAAGAAAATAAGTCTTTCTACCAAAAAGACACATGCACTTGTATGTTCATTGCAGCACTATTCACAGTAGCAAAGGCATAAAATCAACATAGGATACCCATCAACAGTGGATTGGATAAAGAAAATGTAATACATATACACCGTGGAATACCATACAACCATAAAAAAGAATGAAAGTATGTCTTTTGCACAACAAGGATGCAACTACAGGTCATTGTCCTAAGCAAATTAAACCCAGGAACAGAAAACCAAATACTGCATGTTCTCACTTACAAGTGGGAGCTATAAATTGGGTACACATGGACATAAAGATGGGAACAATAGACACTGGGGACTACTACAAGGGGGAGAGTGGAAGTTGGGGGGCAAGGGCTGACAAACTACCTATTGGGTATTATGCTCACTACTTGAGTGTCGGGATCATTCATACCCCAAACCTCTATGTCACACAATACAGGCATGTAGCAAATCTGCACGTGCACCTCCGAGTCTAAAATTTAAAAAGGAAATATATTTATATTTTACATTAAGATGAAAAAAGATCTGTACAGTAAAAACCACAAAGCTTTATTGAAGGAAATTAAAGAATTCCTAAATAAATAGACTTTCCATGTACATGAGTTGGATGAGTTCATATTAATAAGATGGCAATATTCTTCAAATTGATCAACAGATTTGATTCAGTTCTTACAAAAAACACAAGGTAGATTATTTGAAGAAATTGACAACATAACCCTAATATTTATATGGAAATGTAAAGGATCTAGAATAGGCAAAATAGAATAATAATGTTGGAAGAATCACACTCAGATTTAAAAATTATTGCACAGCTACAGTAATCAAGGCAGTGTTGTATTGGCATAAGGACAGGCATATAGATCAATGGATCAGAATTGAGAGTTCATAAAAAAAGAACAAACTCATATTTTGGGACACTTAAATTTTTACAAAGTTACCAAGATGATTCAATTACAAAATAATAATATTTTCACAAATGGTGCTGGGACAATTGGATATTCACATGCAAAAAAAATTAGTAAAGTTGGACTCCTAAGTACTCCTACTCTACCATACACAAAAATTCACCAAAAATGAATTTAAGATCCAAATGTAAGAACTAAATGTAAAAACTGAATCTATAAAACTCTTAGAATAAAACATAGCCATAAATCTGTATGACTTTGGAATGGTAATGATTTCTTATGTATGGCACCAAAAGCACAAGCAACAAAAGAAAAGAAATAAATTGTCCCTTATCAAAATTTAAAATATTTGCTCTTTAATGGATACCATTAAGAAATTGAATAACAGCCGGGCATGGTGTCTCATGCCTGTAATCCCAGCACTTTGGGAGGCCGAGGCAGGCGGATCATCTGAGGTCAGGAGTTCGAGACCAGCCTGGCCAACATGGCAAAACCCCGTCTCTACTAAAAATACAAAAAATTAGGCAGACGTGGTGGCGGGCGCCTGTAATCGCAGCTACTCAGGAGGCTGAAGCAGGAGAACTGCTTGAACCAGGGAGGTGGAGGTTGCAGTGAGCCGAGATCACGCCATTGCACTCCAGCCTGGGTGACAGAGCAAAACTGTGTCTCAAAAAAAAAAAAAAAGAAAAAGAAAAGAAATTAAATGACAACCCACAAAATGGGAGAAAACATTTACAAATCCTACATCTGATTAAAGACTTCTATCAAGAACATATAAGTAACTCTCACAACTCGATGAAAATATGACAAATAACCAATTAAAAATAGGCAAAGAATATAAATAGACATTTCTCCTAAGAAGATGTACAAATGTTCAATATGCACATATAAAATGGTCAACATCTAGACCCAAAGTAAATACAAATAGGAACCTAATGCGATACCAATTTACACCTGCTAGGATGGCTATAATCAAAAAGACAGAAAATAAAAAGTGTTTGTAAGGACGGGGAGAAATTAGAACCCTCTTACACTGTCCATGGAAACGGGAAATAGTGCAGCCAGTATGGAAAACAATCTGAAAATTTTTCAAAAGTTTAAACAGAATTAATGTATGATTCAGCAATTTTATCCCTAGATACATACCCAAGACAAATGAAAACATAGTTTCACACAAAAACATATACAAATATTCATTGTATCATTATCTGTAACAGCCAAAAGTCAAATACCGACCAAATGTCCATTAACTGATGAATGAATATATGTGGCATATCCATTTGATGAAATATACTATTTCTTGGCAATAAAAAGAAAAAAAATGAAGTACTTATACCTGCTAAAACATGGATGCACTTGGAAGCTACACTGAAAGATGCCAGGCACAAAAGGCCACAGATTGTATGATTCAATTCTTATGAAATGTTCAGAATAGGGAAATCCATAGAAACAAGGGGAGATTCATAGTTGCCAGAAGCTGAGGGGAAGAAGAAATAGGGAATAAATGCTAATGAGTATGAGGTTTTATTTCAGGGTAGTAAAAATGTTCTAAAATTGATTGTGGTGATGGCTGCAAAACTCTGAAATACTAAAAAAATCATTGAACTGTATACTTTAAATGGGTGAAATGTATGGTGTGTGAATTCCATCTCAATTAAGCTATTATTGAAAAGAAAAAGAAAGAGAGATGGGTGGAGAGGAAGGAGTTTCCAAACATCTAAGGAAGATGTATCCAAATCTGGTACCTAGCCAGCATCTACATATAGAAGAGCAGAAGAAAACGACTTGGAAATGTCTTTGACATGTGCCATGCCATCATTCACAGCCCAGCTGGTTGGAATGATGTGATCAGTTCACTTCAGTAATTTCCCTTCTGTTATCTTGTTCTGGGAGCGTTATCCCTTCTAGAACTGTGACTCCTGTCTTAAAACAGTCTCCTCTGAGGCTATTTCACCTAGAAAATAGAACTAGATATAGTCCCATATGCATTGAGTTGTTAAGAGAATTAGATCAGAAAAGGTAGAAGGTGTTTAGCACAATGACTTTCATGTAGTAAAGGCTCAACAAAAGTTACGTATTTTAAATTCCTTAACTCCACCCCCACCATTTGCCCCATTCTGGCATGCATTTTTATTGCAGGTCATTTTAATGACCTAGAGTCATTCATTGATCCTTCATACATTTGTTTTTGTTGTTTTTTCTTTGATATGATTCATTTTTTCTTTTTTCGTTTTAGCAAAACCCAAGTATCAAGTTCTGCACTCAGTACTGAGATAATTGCACTACACAGAGATGAGTGCAATATGGAAGCTAAACACAGGATGCTTTGAAGAAAAGAAGAATCCCTTCTATTTTGTCCTGTACCTTCCTGTACCGCATAACCATGCTCAGAACTCAAAGAACACACAGCCTTTCTCAAGATTATGGCTGGATGGAAAAATTTCTAATAAAGAAGTGAAAGCAATTTGCCACATTAAAATCTTAGCAAGTCCACTGGCCCTCAGTGCCTCCTCGAGAACCAGTATGAGTCAGATGTTACCAAAACACAATGGAGACAACATCAAGGCTGTACACAACCTAAAAGGGATATTTTACATTGAACTAATCTTTTTTTTTTTTAGATGGATTCTCGCTGTGTCACCCAGCGTGGAGTGCAGTGGTGCGATCTCAGCTCACTGCAACCTCTGCCTCCTGGGTTCAAGCAATTCTCCTGCCTCAGCCTCCCAAGTAGCTGGGATTACAGGAGTCTGCCACTATGACTGGCTAATTTTTTGTATTTTTCGTAGAGATAGCGTTTCACCATGTTGGCCAGGCTGGTCTCAAACTCCTGACCTCAAGTGATCCACCCACCTTGGCTTCCCAAAGTGCAGAGATTACAGGCATGAGCCACCATGCCAGGCCTATACTAATCTTTATGCATACTCTGCAGATGCTTTTGGATTGCCATGTCCTATTTTTCAGCTTTAAGCAAAAGGTTGCACAAACAGGCACGGACAACTGCTGATGAAACACAGGAAGACTCTCAGAGAGAAAGTCATCACGCAAACACCAGAAGTGGCCAGGAACTCACATAGTTCTCTCTTTAGGCTGCAGTGGTAATTGAGTAAAGGGAGATAGAGGGACACTCTAGTTTGCTTCAGGAAAGCCCCAGAAACTGTAACACTTCTCCAAAACTCTGATACTATGATGTTGCCTGACCACAGAAATTTCAGTGAACAGATGACTGCTTATCTCAGATTATGAGTGCTCCATGTGTACAGAACTTATGATTTAATTCTGTGGCTCCAGCCTTATCACTACCTGGCACAGGGCAACACTTGGTAACTGCTTATTGGGTTTATTGTCTGAATTAATATTGTATCAATCATGTGAGGCATTTGCCTTTCACATTGGGGGTCTGTAATTTCTATGACATTTCTAACTGAAAACACAACAGTTCTAATTGTTTACTTTTTATTTTAATAGTAATCCAAACAATATAACACAATAATTAGGATTATTTTACAGCCACCTAAAGATGGAATTCTGACTTGGGATTCCAGAGTCTGCTTTTGTTCCTAAGATTATACTTTTACTGAGCTAAAGTGCATTGGCATCGCTATAGGATAAACTGGCTGGTCAAGACTTCCATGGGCGTGAAGTTCTGAGCCCCACCACCTGTACTATCCCCTCAGCATTTACTACAATGCCTGGCAAATAATAGCTTTTAAATCAAGATTTAATGGTGAACTCTTGAAGAAACTAAACCTTTGCAGTTTAGTGACATTGTGTCAACTTGGGTAGGCTAAAATACATTTCTCAGAATTTTTCTTGCATGGTTGCAGTTAGGGTGAACTGTAAGGGGGTTTCTTGTTAGATGTGGAGGACAGGAGGGAAGGAATAGTCAACATGTACCCCACACCCATTGTGACAAATCTGCTCACTCACCCCGTTAGTGAGGGGCTGCAGCAATGCCTGCACCTGTCCCTTCGTTCCCTGGATCCTTCTTCAGATTCCTGACTCCTGGGCCATATGTTTGTGCTTAGCTCTGTGATAAAGGGTTTCAATTTCTAAAGGGCACCCATGTGACCAATGTCACAGGCAAGAGGAGCTACTGTTTTAGTCCATACTTATGAGATTTTAGCCCATGCTGTGAGCTCCTGCCTACCCATGATTTACCCCTCTAAACACCTCTCTTACCTTTCTGTCTGCCTGTCAGGTGGACTTCAAGCTCCAGTGTCAGAAGCAAAAACAACAGCTTTACAGAGAATGCACAACTGGTTCCCACAATTGTGTAAGTCAGTTCTCTGCAATGAGTCCCTTTATCTCTCCTGGTGGTATTTCTTTGGTTGAACTGATACAGAGGTTGATGCATTACTTTGTTCTTATCTCTGTTTTACTCTCTCCACAGTTTTCCTGGTAGCATATACAGTAATAAGTAAGCAATAAGGAGTTTTATGTTCCTGACTCCATAAATAAATGCATTAAAGCAAGCTTTAATAACACTATAATCCTAACCTTATCTGCAACTACGCCAAACAATTTTTACAGTGTTATTATGTGAGGTGTGTAATACCTGTAAGCCATGTTCAAGTGCTTGGCACACACATACCTTCCACAAGCACAGTAAAACAGAATCTGCCATTGGCAGAGGAGCCTGAGCATTTGGGATGCCTGAAGTCCAGCCAGCTCACCATCCTTGCTTGCAAGCATTATCCCTTGAAAATGGTGGTATGATTAGGAACCATTTTGTGTGACAGACTTTCAGTTGTGCAGAAACTATAAATCTTACTCAAGCAAGGATATTTTGCAGTGACTGGGATCAAGAACTACAGACCTGAATGTTATCTCACCTCAAAGCACCAGCCTCTGAGCCCAGTGTTCTTCAGGATTTAGAAAAGCCCTACGGTGCTCATGCTATCAATGGCAAAGGAAAAACTCAATGGATTGGGGTAGCTGGATCCACTAAATGGGGACCCACTATTCCGGAATATTTAATGCTCCTGCACTGGGTTGAAAACAATTTTGTTTTTCTACAAACCAATAAGAGGAAAGTATAAACTCACATAATCTGGAAAGGAGGCAATGATCAAATACTGAGATTTGAACTTTAGCTTTCATTAAAATTAGCATGCAAGAATTGCTTGCTGGAAGAATTTTTGTTAAGGACAAAGGATACTTATTCTTAATCAAGCAGCAATGCTCTTATTAATATAATTTAGCATACTTAAAGGACATTATTACTGAACTCGAAATTCAAAAACAGATTAAATATAAAACAGAACCTGCAGCTATATCTTTTCATTGTAAAATCAACACTAGTGATGTTGTTTCAGCAGACCATTAGACACTAAATAAATGTTGCTAATTTGAATCACACTGGTTTTGTGGTTTTGTGTGTAATTCTTACATTTGTATTGCTTTTACAATTCTCCATCTATTTTTTGCATGTTTTAAGCAACATACAGACATTCCATTATTAAGATATCTCTTAATAATGGAAATACATTCTGAGAAGTGCATCATTTGATGATTTTATTGTTGTAGGAAGATCATAGAGTGTACTTACATAAACCTAGATAAAATAGCCTACTACACACCTGGGCTATATGGTGTAGCTTATCACTCTGAGGCTAACAAACCTACACAGCATGTTACTGTACTGAATACTACAGGCAATTGTGAGACAATGGTAGTATTTGTGTATCTATAAATATCTAACATAAAAAAGTACAGTAAAAGTACAATATTAAAGATAAAAATGCTACACATCTGTATAGAGCACTTACTATGAATGAAGCTTGAAGGACTGGACGTTACTCTGTGTGAGTCAGAGAATGACTGATGAGTGAATGTGAAGGCATAGAACATTATTGTAAACTACTGAAGACTTGACAAATGCTGTACACTTTGGCTACACTGAATTTATTAAAAATATTTTTCTTCAATAATAAATTAACCATAGCTTACTCTAAATTTACTTTATACTTTTTAATTTTTATAACATTTTTACTCTTTTATAATAATATTGGATTAAAACATAGACATATTATACAGCTGTTTAAAAAATTATCTTTGTATCTTTAGTCTATATTCATTTTTCTATTTTTAATTTTTATTTTTTTTAACTTTTTAAACATGTTCAGTTAAAAACTAAGAACAAACACACGCCTTAGCCTAGACCTACACTAAGTCACGATCATCATCACCACCTCCACATCTTGTCCCCGCTGGAAGGTCTTCAGGGGCAATAGCATGCATGGAGCTGTCATCCTATGATAATAATTCCTTCTTCTGGAATTCCCCCTTAAGAACTTGTGTGAGCCTTTTTTACAGTTAATATTTTTTATAAGTAGTAGCAGTACACTCTAAAAAATGATAAAAAGTATAGTATAATAAATATATAAACCAATAACATAGCCATTTACTATCATTATCAAGTATTCTGCATGATACATAGATGTATGTGCTACATCTTTATATGTCTGGCAATGCAGTGGGTCTGTTTACCCCAGCATCATCACAGATACCTAAGTTGTACTATGATGTTATGATGGCTGTGATGTCACTGAACAATAGGAATATTTAAGCTCCATTATCAGCTTATGTGACCACTGTCACATATATTCGTCCTTGACTAAAACATCATGCAGCACATGACTGTAATTACAGAAATGGTTTCTGCTGGGTGCAGTAGCTCACACCTGTAATCCCAGCACTTTGGGAGGTTGAGGTAGGAGGATCACTTTGAGCTCAGGAGTTTGAGACCAGCCAGGGCAACATGGTGAAAACCCATCCCTACAAAAATACAGAAATTATCCAGGTGTGGTGGTACATGCCTGTAGTCCCACCTACTTGGGAGGCTGAAGTGGGAAGATCGCTTGAGTCCAGGAGGCAGAAGTTGCAGTGAGCTGAGATTGTACCACTGCACTCCAGTCTGGGTAACAGAGAAAGGCCCTAAGAATGAGACCCTGTCTCAAAATAATAATAATAATTAAAAAATAAAAAGAAGTGGTTTCTATCAACAAACAGTTTCAATAAGAATTTCCTTTTTTCTCTAGAACAGTAGTTCTCAATCTTTCTGACAAATTAAAATTACTTGCGGGGAGTACATTTCCAGTGATTTTGATTTAATTAGTCTAAGGTGGATCACTGATCTTTAGGCCACTTTAAACATCCATCTTTTAGTAACCAATAAAATAATTAGAAAAAAAGTAAGAACATTAAAAATTTGAACACCACTATTAACCAATATTAACATTTATAGAACATTACACTCAATAAATGTAAGTTTATTTTAATAACACCTGGAATCTTTAACAAGATAGATTAAATTTGGGGCCATTAAAATAAGTCTTAACAAATTTAAAAAATTATAGTATTTTATCATATAAGCTTCAGCCACAACATAATTACATTAACATTTAGTGGTATTAGTATATTTGGTGAAAAAAAACCCAAATATTTGGAAATTAAGCAAAATACCTCAAAACAATAAATTGGACAAAAAAATTGGAGATGAATTAGAAAATATTTTGAACTAAATGATATTAAAAAGAGCATTTCAGAATGTAGAATTCTGTCAAAGTAGTGTTTTGATGAAATTTTATAGATGCAAATACTTATAGAAAAAAAGAAAGGTTTACATGCATTTTCTCTCTAAGAAGTAGAAAGTGAAAAGCAAGTTAAACTCAAAATGGAAGAAAATAATAATAATAAGAGTAATAATCAATGACATAAGGAAGAGAGAAAAATTAATAGAGCCTAAAGTTGATTCTTTAAAAAAAATTAATAAAATTGAAAACATCCAAGCAACAGCAAAGTTATAAAAAAGAATTTAAAAAACACCATCAGAAATAAAGTAGACAGTATCTCTACTTATCCTACAGACATTAAAATGGTAAGTAATGATTCTGAACAAAGTTTTTTAATTTGACAACTCAGATGATGGGCATATTAGAAACACAAGTAATAAAACTGACTCAAAGAGAAATAGAAAACTCAAACAGTCTTACATTTAGTAAAGAAAGTAAACTCAAAATTTAAAACCAGCTTTTCACAAATAAAATACAAAATAATTATCCTGGTTAATGCTACTAAACTTTTAAGAGTGAAATAATACCAATCCTAAACAAACTCTACACATCTTTTCTTTCTGAAAAAAATTTTGAAGCAGCATAATCCTGATACCAAAACCTAAAAAAGTATTATCAGAAAGAAAAATAATATGGACTAATACCTCTCTTTACCAAATTCTTTACTAAATATCAGTAAACAAATTTAGCAATACAGACAGTTCCTGATTTATGATGGTTAGAATTAACAATTTTTTTATTATCAAATAAATTTGTGGCTTATGGGTCTATCTGGATGAAACGCCATTGTAAGTCAAGGAATATCTGTACATTAAAAATATACAATATATACCAAGTAAGGCTTATCTCAGGTAGTCCAGATTGATTCAACATTTTAAAAAAATCAATGTTATTTGTCACATTTAAAGAAGAAGAAAAAATTGTCTCAATAGATGTAGAATATAAAACTAACATAAAATTTAGCAATCCACTTCTGGGTGTTTATTGAAAAGAATCGAAATCAGAATCTGGAAGAGATATCTACACTTCCCTGCTTATTGCACCATTATTCATAATAGCTGAGATGTAAAAACAGCCTGAATGTCCATTGACAGACAAATAAACAAAATGAGGCATTAACGTACAGTAGAATACTGTTCAGCCTTCAACAAGAAGGACATTGAAATATGCATGGATGAATCTTGAGAACATTATGCTAAGTGAGATAAGCCAGTCATAGAAAAATAAGTACTGTATAATTCCACTTAATATGAGGTGTCTAAAATAGTCAAATTTATTGAATCAAAGAGTGGAATGATGGTTGTTCAGGGCTGGAAACAGAGAAAAATGGAAATCATAAATCAACTGGCATAAAGTTTCAGTTAAGCAAAATGAGTAAATTCTAGAGCTCTGCTGTACAACATTGTGTTTGGAGAAAACAGTGTTGTATTATATACTTAAAACATTGGCTAAGAAGGTAAATCTCATGTTAAGTGTTATCACAATAAAGTAGAAAAAGTATTTGCTAAAAGTCAAAATCCATTCATGATAAAAACAGAAAACTCAGAATAAAAGGGAACTTTTTCAATACGGAAAAGGAAATCTACAAAAACCCTACAACTACTATTATATTTAATGATAAAGTTTTTAGAAATTTTCCAAAAGATCAAAAATAAGGTGACAATATCTCCTTTCATACTTTGAATCAACATTGTAATGTACCTCCTGACAAGTTCAATAAGACAAAAAGATGTAAAAGGAATAACTAGTGAAAATGAAGAAGTAAAGCTGCTATTATTTACAGATGGCACTATTGTGTATGTAGAAACCTATATGGAATCTAAAACCAAAGTGAAACAAACTTCTAAAACTAATAGGTACATTTATTAAGCATGGAAAATACAGTATTTCTATTTATTAGCAAGAAAAATAGAAGTCTCAGTAGAAAATTATTCCATTTAAAATAGCATCAAAAGAAACTTACACCCATCTCACACCTATTGGAGTGTCTACAATTAAAAAGAAGAATAAGATCTGTTAGTGAGAATGTGGAGAAATTGAAACCCTTATGCACCGTTGATAGAAGTGTAAAATGGTAAAGCTAGTAGGGATCACTATGGTAGTTCCTCAAAAAATTGAAAATAGGATTACCATATCATCCCCCAATTCCACTTCTGGATATATAACCACAGGAATTGAAAGCAATGGCTCAAATAGATATTTATATACTCATGTTCATAGCAGCAGCATTCTTAATAGTCAAGGGATTGAAACAATCCAAATGTCTATCAACAAACACATAAACAAAATGTGCTATACACATAAAATGGACTATTGTTTGGTCTTAAAAAGAAGGTAATTCTGACACCTGCAGCAACATAGATAAACCCTGGGACATTATGTTAAGTAAAATAAGCCAGTCGAAAAAGAACAAATACTGTATGATTCTTCTTACATGAGCTTCCTAGAGTACTCAAATTCATAGAGACAGAAAGAAAATGATGGTTGCCAGAGGATGGGGGAAAGGGAAAATGGGGGAGTTATTTTTCTTTAATTATTTTTTAATGAGTACAGACTTTCAGTTTTGCAAGATGAAAAGAGTTCTGGAGATGGATGGTGATGATGGTTGTATAACAGTGTGAAAGTACTTAAAGACATTGAACTGCACATTTAAAAATGTGTAAAATTTTTATACCAGTACCATGCTATTTTGGTTACTATAGCTTTGTAGTATAGTTTGAAGTCAGGTAATGTGACACCTCTAGCTTTGATCTTTTTGCTTTTGATTGCTTTGGCTATTTGAGCTCGTTTCTGGTTCCATCTAAGTTTTAGAATTATTTTTCTAATTCCATGAAAAATGACATTGGTATTTTGATAAGGATTGCATTGAATCTGTAGGTTACTTTGGCTAATATGGTCATTTTAATAATATTATTTCTTCTGCTCTGTGAGTATGTTTTTTCATTTGTTTGTGGCATCTAAAATTTCTTTCATCAGTGTTTTGTAATTTTCCTTGTAGAGATCTTTTATCTCCTTGGTTAAGTATATTCCAAGGTATTTTTTCTTGTAGCTATTGTAGATGAAATTGCCTTCTTGACTTGATTTTCAGCTTTGTCATTATTGGTATATAGAAATGTTACTGATTTTTGTACACTTATTTTATATCCTGAAACTTTATTGAATTCATTTATTAAATTCTATAGTTTTTTGGAGGAGTCTAGGATAATCTAGATATAAGATCTTATCATCAGCAAACAAATGCAGAGAAAAGAGAATGCTTATACACTGTTCTTGGGAATGTAAAGTAGTACAACTTCTATGGGAAATAGTAAAAAGATTTCTCAAAGAACTAAATATAGGATTACTAGTCTATCCAGCAATTCCACTACTGGGTATCTACCCAAAGGAATATAAATCAATGTAACAAAAAGATACCTGCACTCATGTGTTTATTACAGCTTTACTTACAAAAGCAAAAATATGGAATCAACATAAGTGTTCATAACAGATGACTGGATTTTTAAAGTGTTATGTGTGTGTGTGTATGTGTATATATTACACACATACACATATATACACACAATGGAATACTATTCAGCCATAACAGAGAGTGAAATTGTGTCTTTTGCAGCAATATGGATGGAAATGGAGGCCATTATTCTAAGTGAAATAACACAGAGAGTCGAATACCACACATCCTCACTTACAAATGGGAGCTAAATAATGTGTATACATGGACACAGAGAGTGGAATAATAGACACTGGAGACTCTAAAGGGTAGGAGGGTGAGAGGGGGGTGAGGGATGAGGAAGTACATAATGGGTACCTTGTACATTGTTCGGGTGATGGTTACACTAAAAGCCCAGACTTTGCCATTACACAACATACTAATGTAACAAACTGCACTTGTACCTCTTAAATTTATAAAGATAAAAAATGCTTAAGATGATAACTTGTTATTTTTATTTTACCACAATTAAAATAATAATAAAACTACCTAATGTACTTAATAAATTTAACAAAAGATATGTAAAAGCTCAATAATAGTAACTACAAAATACCACTTGAGATAGAATAGATTCAAATAAAAAAGAGACATCCCACAGTCATGGACTAGAAAACTCAATTTTTTAAAAATATTCATTTTTTTAAGTTAATCTATGCTAGGGATTGGCAAACTATGGCTCACAGATCAAATTTAGTCTGCTTCCTGTTATTATATAACCTAGAAGCTAGTATTTTTTTACATTTTTAAATGGTTGAAAAGATAAAAAAACTAATAGAAACTGTATATGATCCATAAAACTTAAAACATTTACTACCATGTTCTCTTCAGAAAAAAAATTTGTCAATCCTTTTCTGTACTTAGAGTCTGAAACTCTAAGCAAACTCGTCAATATAAATTAGTAGTCTATAATTTACAAGAAAACTTTTTTTGTAGAAATTGAGTAGATTCTAAAAAATATTTGGAAACAGAAAAGCCCCAGAATGCCCAAAACAATTTTTAAAAAGAAGATCAAAGGCTTCACTACTGTCTTTCCAAACTTACTGAAGGCTGGGTGCGGTGGCTCACACCTGTAATCCCAGCACTTTGAGAGACCGAGGTAGGGGGGGAATCACAAGGTCAGGAGTTTGAGACCAGCCTGGCCAACATGGTGAAACCCCGTCTCTACTAAAAATACAAAAAATTAGCTGGGCGTGGTGGCGCACACCTGTAATTCCAGCTACTCGGGAGGCTGAGGCAGAGAATTGCTTGAACCCAGAGGCAGAGGTTGCAGTGAGCAGAGATCACGCCACTGCACTCCAGCCTGGGTGACAGAGTGAGACTCCATCTCAAAAAAACCTTATTGAAAAGTTATAGTAATGAAGACAATGTACTACATAAGGACAAAGAAATGGGCCATGGAATAGAACAGTGTATTTCTGAATACACGTGTTTCAGGTGTTTTTTTTTTAAGTGCTAAAATATCAATTGACATTATTTATTTCCTTGCTCTTACAATAGCAAAGTAATTCAATGGTAATGAGATAATCTCTTTTTAAAAAATGATGCTAGAACAACTAGATAAAAATATGTAAAAATAAGAACCTTTATTCTTGCATCACACCATACATAAAAATTAATTCAAAATGGATCATATACTAAAGTAGAATTAAAACTATAAAGCTCATTTAAGAAAGCAGAATAATGTCTTCATGACCTTGATGTAAATAAAGATTGCCTAAAATGACTCAAAGTGTATTAACTGTAAATAAAAAATAATAAATTGGAATTCAACAAAATTTAAAACTTCAACAAAATTAAAAACTTCTGCTTATTAAATACATGGTTCTGCAAGTGAAAAAGCAAGGCAAAGACTTAGAAAATATATTCATAATATATATCTGAAAAAAGAGACTTATGTTTGAAATAGAGAAATAATGTATAAAAATCAATAGTAAAAGGACAACCAATCTAATTTCAATATGAGCAAGAGATGTGAACACTTTACAAAGGAATACATAGGAATGGCCTTCAAAGTATGTGAAAAAGAACCTCAACATTGTTAGCCACCAGGGAAATTCAAATTAGCACTACAGTGAAAAATCACTACAAAATAACTAAAATTAAAAAGCCTGCTAAAACCTAACATGGACAAGTACATGGGATAATTAGAACTATCATAAATTGCTGGTGGTAGTATATAATGCTACAACCACTTTGGAAAAAACGTTGGCAGTTTGAGGCAATGTCAGCCATTACAGAAATCCTATTCTATGGCCCAACATTTCTACTTTTAGGTATTTACACAAGAGAAATAAAAATAAATGTTCACAAATAAATTGCCTCAGAATGTTTATTTTATGGCAGCTTCATTTACAGTAGCCAAAGTCTGGAAACAATCCAAGTGTACATCCACAGAAGAATGAGTCAAAAACTACCCTATTTTTATATAATGGAATACTGCTCATCTATATATATATTTAGTTATATAGTTGAGTTCTCCAAGAGAGAAGTCACAAGTATATAAATAAATCTCAGAAACAATATGTTGGGTGAAAGAAACCAGGCACAAACCACATACTATATAATTCTATTTCTAAAAATTTCAAGAGCAAACTTACCTTTGGTTATTACATATTGGGACATTGTTTCCTGTAAGAGGTGAGAATTTACAGGAATGAGGTATCAGGAATGTTTTTGTTTGATGGAAATACTCTATGCCTTGACTGTGGTGTTAGTTACATGGGGTATACATTACCAAAGCTTGCTGAATTATATACTTATAACTCATTTCACCTATGCATTTCATCATTTGTATTTATAAAATGTGTTTAAATATTTTTGTGTATTTGTTTTCTATTTTATTGACCCTGATTGATATATTTAGCCACAGGGTGCCAGGTGCAGAGAGTCTTACTCATCTTTGTTTACTCAGTGCTTGAATGTAAAAATGAATGAATGTCTGTAATGAAGAAGTAAGAAGGTAGAAGAGACCAAAACAGTGAAACTGTAATTCAGATAGACAACATAAATTAAATGTTGTACTACATCTTTTTCTTGCAAATCCTCACTGCTCTTAGGACACAAACTTCTAGAAGCCAAACAAATGTCTGTAATTGAATCCAAAATACAGTGTCATCAATTTTTGAAGTTATTTTAAATTAGAAGAAAACTGTATAAAGGTCAAATATATGAATATACTATATCTATTAGTATTAATAACTGGCACATTCAAGTAGCAAAATTGAGTACTGTTATAAAAGTTGACATTTTTTTCTCTAAGCTCTACTTTTCACTCAAGATGCATATGAAATGGAAAAGTATATTGCTTACAACCTCTACCTACTGAATAGGCTGTTCACTAATTTGTTCATTCACTCATTCCCTAAGCATTTGTTTACTGAGCATCTGCTCCATGCTGGACACTTAGCTAGAAGCCAGAAAAAAAAAAACAATTCATAAGAAACAGTTCTTTCTAAAAATAAATTGACATGCTAGTTGGAGAGAAAACTCAATAAGTAAACAAATATAAAGATGGCTAATTGAGCTATAAAAGAGATAGGTATAGAGTAACATGGGTTTTTGCCATTTCTTTTGGGGAAAAGTCTATATATATATAAAGACAGGGTGGTCAACTCCACCAGACATCTCTACCAGTGGCAAGTTTCTTCATTGTTCACCTCTTGTTCTCATTCCCCAATCTCAGAATTTTACTCCAGTTGTGTTCCCTATCTGGAAAGTTCTTTCTCCATCCCTCCCTACCATATCTAGATACCTTCTTTTGAAAAAGACCCAGTCCAGGTTCCGCTAAACACCTTTGATTCATATCTCTCTCTTCTGCATCCCTGTGGCTCTCCTGTGGTTCCATGTCCTTTCTCTACTTGCTCCATGTGAGGTTGTCTGTGCTGCATTGATGTTTTAAGCTCCTATGAGAACAGAGACACATCTCAGACTCAGTGCCTGCTAGCAGCATTGAACCATGGTTGCCACATAGCAGATGCTAAAAAGCAGAAGTTGGTTTCATTAATGATAATTGTTGAGTGCATCCTGCACAAAACACTGATTTTTTTTCTTGCTGAAGGGGCTTGAAAATATTTGGAATCCAGACTCTCTTGACCCAGTCTCCCTTCCTGTATCCACACACATTCTATTTCAGCATAGCTGCTGCAACTTTCACACAAGCAGCAGCCATGGTGTGGAAATTCTCTATGCAGCAAGTGTGCGGATGTGGAAAGTCTGTAAAATACAGTATTATATCACCAATGGCCACTTCTGGACTTTTTTGTTGCAGCAATTTGCAAATGTGTCGGTGTGACTGAGGTGACTCATGAGGGGTTGGCTGGAAGGTCAAATACAAAAACTTTCCAGATATCTCCACAAAAGTGAAACAGGCCTGTGTCTCCTTGGGAAAAACTTTTCCCCCAGTAATGGAGTGGGGATAGCTACAGAATATAACAGGGCTGTTTTTGCATAGGTCTAAAAGTTCTGGGTGCACTTTGGTCCCTGGCCAACAGTCTGGGGTGAAAATTGGCATGCCACCTGAGAAAGGCAAAATGACGATGCCTGATGGCTGGGAGCAAAGGGTCACCAGCCACATTTCAGAACAAGGGTTCTAGCTGTGGTTGTTAGCTCTGACTGCACGTAAGACTCAGACACATTGAATCAGAATCCCCAGGAGTGGGACTCGGTATTAGCAATTTTTAGAACTCCTTGGGTGCTTTCAATGTGCAACCAAATTTAAAAACACTGAGTAAAGTGATAGGAGGTAGTCCAGGGCTTTTGACAGCTTAATTACCCAGCGAGAGCTTCAAAACTGCTTGTGATGATTAATTTTGTATATCATCTTGACTGGACTAAGAGGTGCCCAGATATTTGGTCAAACATTATTCTGGGTGGGTCTGTGAGGGTGTTTCTAAATGAGATGAACATGTGAACCCGTAGACTGGGTAAAGCAGATTGTCCTCTCCAGTGTGGGTGGCCACACCCAATCCCCTGAAGGCATGAATAGAACAAAAAGGCTGACAGCCCACTCCACAGTGAGAGTAAGAGGGAACTCCTCCTGCCTGACCATCTTCAGCTGGGACATTTTCTGCCTTTGGACTTGAACTGAAATAACTTATTGATTCTTGTTGGATCTCAAGCCTGCTGGCCTTCAGACTAGAACCACTGGCTGTCCTAGGTCTCCAGCTTGCCAACAAAAAACCTCAGGACTTTTTATTCTCCATAATCACATGAGCCAATTTCTTATAATAAATATACCCCCACCCCTCAAAACTCCTGGAAAACCCTAACTAATATACTGCAGGTGCTTTAATCCCATCTCTAAGATTCAGTTTCAACTGCGAAGGTATGGTGCAAGACTTTTTAATTTTTTCTCAGGCAATTCTAATAAGGCCAGGCTTTAGAGTTTTGATACAGCTAAGTGATCTCAGACAAGTTACATAACTTTGTCTAAGGTAGTTATCACCTTGGTATTTAAGATGAGAATAACTATACTCCCTTATGAAGTTATTTCTGAAATTTGAACCATACATGGTACAGTACTCGGGACATAAATAATATGAGATAATACTCATTTTCACACATTTGTGTGCCACCAATTTGTGTGCAAAACATTTTTTCCACAGTAAATGCTCAATATTTATGTTGCTTTTTTTGTTTGTTTTTAAAAAAGGTCTTGCTCTGTTGCCCATACAGAGTCTTTCTCTCTATGATCATGACTCACTGCAGCCTGGACTTCCCAGGCTCAAGTGATCCTCCCACCTTAGCCCCGCAAGTGTCTGGTACTGCAGGCATGTACCACTATGCCTGACTTTTTTTTTTTTTTTTTTTTTTTTTTTTGTACAGATAGGATCTCACTATGGTTGCCCAGGCTGGTCAGTATTTATTTTGAAAGAAACTAGAAAATATTTCCAGATCACCAGTCACTTCATCCCCATCAGAATATAGTTTGAAAGCTATATATGTCTCTGATACATCATTCTTTTAATTTGCCCCATAACAATAAATATGTACTTTCTGTCTTTGTATTAATGATGGAAGAGCTGACCCAGTACCAATGACCCGTATGCACTGGCGCAGCTAATAGGACTTGCTGAATGTTTTTGCCTGCTCCAAATTTCTTGGAGTTTATTACCTGATGTCTGGAACTGAGTGCGTAAGTAACTTTCAGTCTCAGCTTGGCTCTTTTCAGAGAAATAAGTGGTGATAGCAAACAGCTATCAACTGACACGAGACAGGATTTAATGAAACACTACTTGAATATGATTGGTCTGAATATTAAGCTTGTATTTCTTATTCATGCTGCTATACCATCATCTGAAATTCCTTAAACAATGCGTTTAACCTTAAAACACTGCAGCGCCCATTGGCCATAAGGTCTGATTTGTATTCACCCTGTCTTTGTTTCATTGAAAACACTTAAAAATGAGCTTCTGTTGTAGGAAAGTGCTAGCATGTTCAGCTAGCCATAAATCAATGGGTATTTGAGACAGATTATCTATAACAATTATTTTAGATTATTTAAGTATCATTTTTATTTTAAAAGATTACTTTCCATGAATTTGAAACCTCAGTAATGGCAAATAACTCAGTCTAAACAGAAAGATGTTGCAGTTATAATTATCTGAATATGTTAACATTTAGGGAACAGTCATGCACATTACTGGCCTTTAGAAAAATAGTATACTTCATGTAGATATTAATTAATCAATAAAACCCTAATTGGATTCTATTAAGTATTGGAAACGACATTTCAACTTAAATATTCCATGTACAACCCTGACCCATTCCCAAGCAGCAATAAAAGCCAATTAGCATGGTATTCAAATTATGATTATGAATGTGATCACCTCCCTCATCGGCATTAATATTATAACAATTAAAAAAAGCACAGTAAGGAATGAATCAGGCAAGTCCTCCTGCACAGTTGCCTTATTTCCTTGCTGTTGTTGAGAAATTTAATATTCCACAAAAGTGGCTTTTAAAGAATGTGAGCTTTGAAATTTGAAAGCCTGAGATGATTGATTCTCATTTGTTACTAATTGTGTCTGTATCTGAGACTAATGTCCCCATCTGCAAAATGGGAATGACAGCAGCCATTTGCAGGACTTTGTTAAGATTAGAATTGCTATATGTGAAGGATCCAGCAGAGGGCTAGACACACTGGAGTCATGCAGAAAGTGGCAGCTTTAGTCCAGAATACAGAGGTCTGTATTCATGGGATATTAGAAGTAAACCCTGGGCTCATCAATTCCCTCCTGCCATTTTCAGTGTGGAAACCTATTTTACTGTGTACAAGTAGCATCTTCCAATCACTGCTTGAACACATTTATTGCTACAGAATGCATTTCCTCGTGGGGTACCACAGTTTCATTGCCAGAACAGGCAGAAATGCCCTCCTTATTGACTCCCATTGAACCAATTTTTACCATCAGCAATAATACACCTTATTGAAATGCTTTTATAGATAATTTTTTTAGGAAATATAGCCAACTGTTTGATAGCACAGGCTTTGGAGCTAAGCTGTCTGGGTTCACATCCTAGCCCCATCATTGACTAGCTGTGTGACCTTGGACCCATTAACCTCTTGGTGGTTTAGTGTTCTCATCATTAAATGTGGATAACTCCTATCTCTTATGTTGCTGTGAATGGTAGCTATTATGGAATTCTATTCATTTCATTTTCATTTTTATATGAAATATTTCAAGCCCTCTCTTAGCAGGCTATAATGTACAAAGCCCTTTCCCAGCCTAGTGAAGCATGCCTGGATGTCTGTTTAAACACCAAAACCCCTGTTAAATTGATCATTTGATCCACAACTTTGTGCAGTGCGTTACATCTTTCCATATTCACATGATAGCAAAATTCCCTTTCTTTCCAGCATGCCAATGAGGAAACAGAGGCTTAGAAGGGTGAGGTAAGGGAACTTCCTTCTCCACAGTCACCCAGCTTGTACTAGATTGGTACAAAAGTAATTGCACCAACCTAATATGTAGAGAGCCAGAAATTACAAAAAGCCTGCAGATGCCAGAGCTTAGGCACTTAAGAGGGCTCTGTTTTTGTTTCTGCGGCGTGAGCCACTGGTAGGCAGGGAAAGAAAGCCAGAAGGCTTGAGAGCAGAGCTGCGAGAGCCTGGGACCTTGGATTTAGGATTGGTTAGTGCAAGAAGTAACAGTGCTAACCAGATTTCATGGGCATGGCAAAATTGTTTCATCAGGTGGCACCCAGAAGGTTCAGACTTTGATGCTCAGCAGTCGGAGGAGAATTATGCTGATTTCTACTGGTAATGGCAGAACCTTCATGTGGACCTGGTGCTGTGATACAAGCCCTCAGCTGAAAACATCAGTCTTGACTGCACAGCACACAGAAGTGTAAGACCATATTAGCCACTAAGAAAGATGAACGTAGTTCAGCAGTGATATTCTGGAAGCAATGTCTTTATGCAAAGGATAAGTTTAATAGTCAAATTTTTGGATGCAAGTGACAGTAGAATAAATTTGAGTTGGCACTGGGTCTTATGATGACCTTCAGATCATATTATATAAGTAGTCATCTCCTTTTATTATCATTACTCTTATTACTACTATTATTATTACTCTTTTTCCTCATTGTTTTCCTCTGTTTCCTCATTGGCATGCTGGAAAGAAAGGGAATTTTGCTATCATGTGAATATGGAAAGATGTAACGCACTGCACAAAGTTGTGGATCAAATGGTCAATTTAACAGGGGTTTTGGTGTTTAAACAGCAAATAAATAAAATAAACATATTATTATTATTATGGCTCTTAGGACTGCATGGATGGAACTGCCCAGCTGAGGCTCCCTGAATTAAGACTTGTTCCTGAACCACAACCTACTAGATAGGAACATTCTAAGACTGGACCTCAAGGTGGTGTAAAGTGATCATTCTGCGGACCCCGAGCATTATCTTGAATTTTTTCCTTAGCATTACAAAGCCAACACACTGAGCTGAGGTAGATCCTAAACCCAAACCTCTTATCTCCAAATTCCACTCTATTTTGGCAGCCATTTGTGTGACGTGAATTCATGTCCAAACACTGAAACTATTTTATTAAGATACCTGAAAATTTTCCCATATTAAGTTAAAGTTTCAATCAGTTTGTCTCACAGACTTCCTACGTTCCAAAAGAATTCTAATGAAAAAGGCCATCATGTGAGTGTCTGATTCCATTTATATGAAATATGCAGAAATGTCTGAA